>NC_000015.10:93865520-94017035 GCF_000001405.40 Homo sapiens
ATTTCTCTGCACTTAAGTTCCTTACCAACAAAACGAGGGAAGTGGCCTACATGCCTAGATATCAACATTTCATGTCACGTAGAGATCTAGCATCACAAGAATCCAAGTCATCCTCTGTTGCCTTTAAGGTAAGCGCTGTTGAAAAATAATCAGCTATCAGAGTGCTCAATTCCAGTCTTCAATTACGTAAAGAAAACCAATACCGTATACCTCTTGGCCTGCCCATTTCAGGACAGGGTGGAGGAGGCAGAAGGAAGTGGGAGTTGCACTGGGGAGGGAGAGAGACTAGCTCTTCCAGCTGCTCTTATGATGAGGAAATAATTACTTAATGGCTAGGCAATTTGTGAAGCAGCTGCTGGTGGTTTGGGGACCCAGCTGTTCCAAAAAATAAAAAGAATTGGGTTTTCTCTTTCCATATCCTTCCCATAGTAGACAAATTAGATATGTAGTTTCAAAATAAATGATTAATTCCTACTGAGAAATGTTCTTTAGAATCCCTTGTTGAGTAAGAGTCTAAAGGATTGGTTAAGTTTCAATGCTCACATTTAAAAATAAATCTTAAAAGTATGAGAATTTGAGAGAAATCTAAGCTCATCGGAAATGTATACCAAACCCTCTACCTGATGTTGCTATAATTGATAGTCATTTTTTTTAATCCCTGAGGTAAAATAAAATCAAACAATAACATGCCAGAACAACTGTCTCTTTTTTCTGGCTACGGAGTGTGGAACAAAAGCAGGTTCCATTCTTTGGTGGCATTGGCCAGGCAAGCAGGGTGTCTGGACAGCTAGGGAGAAGGTGACAATGGGATGGAAATCAGATGCTCACTCAGTAAATATCTGTGAGCAAGTAAGTGGACTAGGGATTTTGTGGGTTTTTTATGTCATCCTCAGAGGCATGAGGGAAGAAGGTCTCAGTCTATCCATCGTGCAGATGAAAAAACCAAAGCCCACATGACTTACTCACCTAAGCTTTCCCAGTGGTGATGTGTGGAATCAAGTTGAAAAGGTAGAAAAGAGGTTAAAGGAAACACATTTGGAGTCTAGCTGTTTGAATCCTGGATCTGCCAGTGTCTGAGGTTGGACAAGTGACTTAGCCATCGAGGCTTCCTTTCCACTCAGCACAGTTGTCCAGCAGACCGTGAGCTCCAATTCAGTGACAGAGATGATTAACTCCGTCTGGCTTGAAACGCTTGCTCATGTACTACACTTTGCTACGCTGAAAGTAACACAGGTTTGCAGAAAAAAAATAATAATCAGCGCCACATCTGGCTACAGAAAACCCATTATATACCACAAAACAGCATGTATTAGCTTGGCTTACATTACATTTATGTTGTTCAGAAAGAAACAGGAATCAAGAGGGATGTAATTCTGACTCTTTTCATGGGGTGGTCATTAAACAGCCTTTACTCACCTTTCCACTCTGAGTATTAACTTCTGAGTTGTCAGTGGTCTGAGCAGGACCTGGGCAGCATGTTGCATTTTCAGCAGTTGCAGGAGGACATCTTTCCATAAATTTCCCCTGGAAGGAAGGAAATAATAACATAATCTCATCATCTGCTGATTGAACAAGATCTGCTATATTACAAATCTGCTTAGCTGAGGAGCGGCTCTCCTGGCCTGCTTTCCTCCAGCTGTCTAAATATTACTTAGTTCCAAAACCTGTCTTACTCCTACTTCCTCCAACAAATCCCATCTCAAGGCCTTCAGGCCACACTGACCTCTTTCTCCTTTTCAGAGTCCCAAAGTTCCTTGCATCTGTACCACACATTTCAGAACTTGTTTTGATGATCTTGTATTGTCCTCTGACTCATTTTAAACCAATATTTGTTCCTTGAGAATGAAGATCATACTAACAATCTCTTTGTCCCCTGCAGATTTCAGCATGGTGAAGGAAAAGTAGCAGAAGACTGAATGCATACTCAGTTTTCAAGCTCTGGATTTAATCTTTCCATAGCTGGAATTGCCTCCTCCTCAAAAGCCTTATTTGTTCATTTAATTGGGGCAACATGAAATAATGATGTATCATTGACAGAGAACAGGGGGCTTAGGTTCTCATCTTGGTCCTAGTGATTACTCTATGCATAACCTCAACTTCTTTATCTGTACATTGGGAACAATAATTCTTACTCCACTTGTTGTGTTGAAACTGAATTATATAATTCATAAATTAAAACACCAAATTCTGATAAATGCTAAATGCCATTTTCTTATCTTGTTCTTTCCTATAATGCCCATTTTGATATAAACCAGGCTCCCTAGTCAGTCTTGCAGAAGGTATTCTCAAGAAGAACTTATATCTTTGGTTTATCAACAAATTTGCAAAGCTGTGTTGATAATCTAGAGCTGAGTCTTTTAACAAGTTTTAACAATATCTCAATTACTATGATGTAGGTCTCTTAATAAAATGTAAATGTAAATGTGACAGAAGTCAACATTAGGACTTTTAGGAAGGGATATAGACACTCAACATTCCTCTTTGTTCAGGAGGGTGACATAGCACAGCTTGCCACCTGTGAGCTAACCTTATCTAGAACACAGCATAGGAACTACTGCTTGACTAGAAAACTAATTTATAAAGCTTAAGGAACTTAAGGGACTTTCAGGGACTAATTTACCATCATAAAATATCTATCTCTACGAAGAAAGAAGAGAGTTTTAAGTACTTGAAAATAAAAATCTTATATTTTAGACTTTTTGAGTGAAACTTCTTCACCCTTGCAATAGACTGGCCAGAAAAAGAGTGATTGCCATCTCCCATCTCTTAGAATAGCATGCTTGCCTGCAGACTCTGTGGCCATGTTTCAACAACTGGATTAGACCTCTTTCAATATCAAATCCATATCTGATCAATTTCAAGTTGTTCCTGTCCCTTGGGAGTGGTTTGCCATTTCCTGCCTATGACTGAATTCCTGCTTTCTTCTTATCCTCAATAGCTCATGGCACGGACATTCTCGTGTGCCTTGTCCACATCATGACCCTGCTATCCATTTGGGTGACCTCCACACTTTGTGTTTCCCACTTTCATATCACATGAGACTCTCAAGGAGAGAGTTTCAGGATGGGTAAAGCTAAGAAGTAAAAATAGAAAAGGTGGTGAAAATTCAGTAGACTAGCATACAGGTTGACAGAAGAACACATTTATTTTCTAGTGGGGAGTGATCCGTGAAGAAAGACCCGAATCAAGAAGTCTTTCAGAATTCTGGTTTTAATAGTTTCCCAAATTTACTTATTAACATTTACATTCAAGCCAGAGAGAAAAGAGAGGAAGTCATTCAAGAGAAAATTGTCACAAGAAGAGCCTATCCAATGGAAATGGCCACCTCTTATTGATCACTTACCATAGGCTGGGTGTATAGGGCAAGGGTCCTTAAGATTAGCTGCATAGCAGAATCACCAAGGGAACTTTTACAAATCCTGATGCCAGGGCTAACTGCAGACCAATACAGGTGGAATCCAACATATTTAAAGCTACATAAGTCATTTCAATGTGCAGCTAATTTTGAGAGCCACTTTCAATGGTGCTAGAGCCAGCTCTTATTAGCTCACAGAAGCCAATTATTAAATTTTCAGTAATTCTGTAAGCGAAACACATTGGCCACAGAGGGAATATTTACACCATGGAAACTTACAAATGCTGCAAATCGTTTTTTTATCTCTCTGGAGAACTAGTTTTTAAACATTTATAAACACACTGGTGGCCCTAAGGGGTAAACATATAACTTGCTATTTAAATCTGGGCAATTTTAAGACACATAGAGGGGAACAAAACATACTGGAGCCTGCCAGAGGGTGAGGGGTGTGAGGAGGTAGAGGATCAGGAAGAATAACTAACGGGTACTAGGCTTAATACCTGAGTGATGAAGTAATCTGCGTAACAAACTCCCATGACAACACAAGTTTACCTGTGTAACAAACCTGCACATGTACCCCTGAACTTAAAATAAAAGTTAAAAGAAGAAAAAGCACAAAAAAAAAGAACAGAAAGAAGACATTGTTAATAATTATGCCAGGACAATTAGCTTGAATCAGAAATTATGATCACTTTAAGTATCTAGGTAGTTAATACTCACAATACCTATGAAAGACAGTTATCATAATGGCCATTTAATGATTAGTCAACAGTGTCTTGGGGAATTTAAGTAAGTTTCTCAAATTTCTTTCACAGAAATTAGAATTAAAGGAATCAGAATTGAAGTGAATCTGACTACACTAAGCCTATCACTTGTGACAGCCATGGGAAGATATCATTGGTTGCTGAGGAGCAGAAATAAGCAGAGACCTATTGTGTTAGGTTATCATTCATTTCAGGTACTTTATGGAGTAGCGATGGTCTAAAATAGTGAGTTTTATAGAGGATTCATTTGAACATATTTCTGATGACTGTATAACAAGTTAGAAACTTAAAATGTAAAGATGTGGTCCTAAGGCAGAAAAATCGGAGAATAAGTGTTCCACTGAAATGTCTTCTGTGTAACTATGTCCTGTGTGGGATGAAAAATCTATTAACACTTGATGTTTAAGAGAGAACTCAAGAATCACCTGGCTGTTAGGTATTTGTGCTCCAGGTTGGTTGAGAGGTGAGACAGAGAGGGAGAGGGAAAAGGGAAGGAGGGAGAAAGAAGGGAGAGAGGAAATGGGAGAGAGTGAGGGAGAGATGGTGACTGAAATTAGACAGAGATGGAGGATCGTGTTATCTTGTTACCTTTCTTTTATCACTGACTATTCTACCAAACACAAGGCATATTAAAAACTATCTCCACTCTGTACAGTCTCATTCCACACTTCTTTCCCAATTCTCAGCAGTTGAACTTGCCTCCTACTTTAGATTAAAAGTGGAAGCTGTTAGATTGGAAGTATCGATCCTAAACCTACACACACATCCACCTACACATAACACATTCCATCTTCTCTCTCCCTATTACACTGGCAGAGCCATTTCTCCTCCTATCTAAAGTCATCTTTTCCTTCTGGCCCTTGAATTCTCCCATCCTCCACATCCATGCACTGTCAGGATCTCTCTAGTACATTTCTCTCATTCTCCCTCATTTGGATCTACTCCATTGGCCTTTGTCATTGTTTGTTTGCCTTTAAAAACAACATTTTATTAGAGCTCATAATTTTATGGTCAGGAATTCTGTGGTCAGAAATTCAAGCTCCTTTTGGTTGGCCAAGTCTTCTTTTCCACCTCTTTTGACTAAGGTCACTCCATGGAATTCAGCGGGCAGATGGTCAGGCTGGGAGGTCTGCCATGGCTCTGCTCACATGGCTGATGTCTTAATGGGGATGGCCTCAGCTGGGGTCACTGGCCACGGTACCTACAGATGGCCTCTCAAGCATGGTGGCACCTGGGTAGCCCTGCTTCTATTTAATTTTTTTTATTTTTATGATTTGTATCAATACATAATATTTGTACATATTATGGGGTACATGCAGTGTTTTGATACATGCATACAATGTGTAATGATCAATTGGAGTATTTAGGATAGCCATCACCTCAAACATTTACCATTTCTTTGTTAAGAACATTTCAAGTCTTCTCTTCTAGCTATTTTAAAATATAAGATATGTTGTTAATTAGAGTCACCCTACTGTGCTATTGAACACTAGAACTATCCCTTCCATCAAATTGTATTTTTGTACCCATTAACAAACCTTGCTTCATCCCTCTCACCACATCCATCTCTCCTACCACAGCCTCTGGTAACTATCATTTTCCTCTCTACCTCCATGAGATCAACTTTTTAGCTCCTACATTATGAGTAAGGACATGTAATATTTGTCTTTCTGTGCCTGGCTTATTTCACTTAACATAGTGACCTCCAGTTCCATCTATGTTGCTGCAAATAAGAAGATTTCATCTTTTTAATGGATGAATTGTATTCCATTGTGCGTACGACTCACATTTTCTTTATCTATTCATCCATGGATGGACACAGGCTGATTCCCTATCTTGACTATTGTGAATAGTGCTGCAATAAACAAGGAAGTGCAGGCATCCCTGTGATGTACTGATTTCCTTTCCTTTGGATCAATTCCCAGTGATGGGATTACTGGACTGTGTGGTAGTTCTATTTTTTCATTTCTTGAAGAAACTCTATATGGTTTTCCAATGGCTGTACTGATTTACATTACACAACAGTGTACAAGAGTTCCCTTTTCTCTGCATCCTTGCCAGCATTTGTTATTTTTGTCCATTGGCTTTTAAGTATTCTTAAATCTCTCCTTAAAAAAAAAAAAAAAAAAAGAAAAGAAATGAAATCTCACTATTCTACCAAGCCTTCACACCTCTGTTTCTTCTTTCATTCACAGTCAAATATCTTGAAAGAGCTACTTATTCTTGCTAATTTCATTTCTGTATCTCCCACTCAATCCTCAAGACCTTCTGATCTGACTTTGCTCCCTTCTTGCCCTTATCACGCCACTGAAACAGCTCTTGGTAAGGCCATCAAAACCTTCATTTACATGATCTCTGTCTGATTGATACTTTTTATTCCTAACTTGAATATACTCACTAGAATTTGACATCCCTGCTCACTTTCTCTCTTTGGTTTCTGGTTTCCGTGACTTAACACTCCTGGTTTTCCTCCTAAATTAGTAATTGCTCCTCCTCAATGTCGTTAGAAAATTTGCCGTCTTCTACACAGCCACCAAATGCTGTTCAAAACACGGCCTGTGCCCTCTTCTCTCTGCTCTCTCACCTCTCAGTTAGCCAACCTGGAGCACAGAAACCTAACACCCAGATGATTCTTGAGTTCTCTCTTTTTCAACTGTGGCACTACCGATGTTGTGGAATGGACAATTTCTTGTTATGAAGTGGGGTTCATTATGGTAGCTGTCCTGTGTACTGCAGGTTGTTTAGCAGAATCCCTGACCTCTATCTGATAGAGGCACTCCCCTCTCACCCCTCCAAGTTGTGACAACAAAAAAATATCTACACACATCATCAAATGTTCCGTGGGACATTTGAATCACCCTTAGTTAAGAACAACTGTTCCGCTCATTTTAGGTGAGCTCATTTACACTCATGGCTTTATTTTCCCCTGTCATACAAATAATTAATAAATAACATCTCCATCACTGAAACCTTGTAGAGGCACCAGATGCATGTAAACATTTTCCCTCTTGATGCATTAATCTTAGAAGACTCAAAAGCATTTCAAACTGAATATGGCCAAGAATAAATTTGTAATCTTCCTCCCCTTCCCTAAAACCTAGTACTGTTGTAGTGTCCTTTTTCTCAGTGGGTAGATTTACCATCCATCCACTTATACAAGCTGTCAACTGAGAGTCCATCTCCAACCCCCCCTTTCTAATGCTGCAAATCAAACCATCATTGAGTTTTACTTTTTAGTTTTGAGATATAAAAGTTTCCTTAAACATTAGAGTAAAAGTTATATTTATAAAGGGAAACTGATACATTTAACTTCATAAAAAATAAAAACTTTTAAGATGAAAACACAGCAAAAATAACTAAAAATGATATAATTTATATGAAATAAATAACTAACAGATAAATCACGAAAAGACAAATGACCAAATAGAAAAGAAGGCAAAGGTCAGGAGTAGGCATTTCTTAAAGGAGCATCATGAATGGTGATGAACACACACACAAAAAATGTTCATTCTTATTAGTAATCAGAGAAATAGAAAAGAAAATCATATATAAATAAAACATTATTGTTTGATTTGCATTTGGAATTATTCCCATCCCAATTTATCTTCCTTTGCTCTTTATCTCTTCCATCAACCCATGTCTTTTAACAGGATTACTTTTTTTAATGTCAAAGCCTCCTGTCTTAATTGTCTAGTACAGTCTGCTGCAGTCTTGTATTATTGTTTGTCTGAAAATGTCTTTGTTTCAACTTCATTTTTAAGCTGCATTTTCCTAGATCTAGTAATTTAGCAATTATTTTCTTTTGTTTCCTTGGAAATGTCATTCCATTGTTTTCCAGCTATTGTTGCTTTTGAGACAGCAGTTGTAATTCTATGGTTTCAATAAAAGTAATGTCTTTTTAAAAAAATTTTCTGCTGCTTTTAAGATTTTCTCTTTGACTTGATATTCAGCAGTTTCACTCTGATGTATTTAGCTGAATATCTATTTTTATTTATCCTGTTGGGTACCACTGAGTTTCTTGAATCTGTAGGTTGAAGCTTTTGCCTTGTTAAGGAAAACTCTGAGCTGTTATCTCTTCAAATATTGCCTCATTTTTAACTTTCTGTTCTTCTGGGACCACAATTTTTCAAGTAAAGGCTAGATCTCATGGAATCTACTATATCTTTTCATACTATTCTAATTTTTCCACCTTTGTGTCCTTTTTATGCTATATTCTAGATGATTTCTTCTGAGTTATCTTCTAGTTTAAAATTTTCCTTATGGCTATATGTAATCTAATGTAAAACCTACTCTTTGAGTAATTGATTTTGATTATTGTACCTTAGGCTTAGAAGTTTAGTTTCATTCTTTAGTTTATAATATGCTATATTATATTTTATCATTTTTTGTTTGCTGTTACATTTTCAAGCTTACCTTTGTTTCTCTGCACATAGTACAATCACTTATTTTAAAGACTGATCACACAAAATTTAAATATTTTGTGGGTCAGCTTCTCTTTTTTGTTGGCTCTTGCTCATGATGTCTTTCGTTTCTCTGTTACCTGGAAATCTTTAACTCTATATAGTTATTTGTAGAAATAATTTGAATATCTTTAAATAAATACCTTACTTAAGGGAAGATTTGGATTTGCTTCTGAGAAACTCGTAGGGAAGTACTAACTCAGATAGATCTTAAAACAAATTCAAGGCTGGAGGATCACTGGGAGATCTACAGATGAAACTTGGTTACAATTCCTCCTAAGGACTGGGCCTCTTCTCATTCATTCTTATCCTGACTACATTGTGTTGAATCTTCCTATTGTTCAATTTCCGCATCTGTAAAATAGGCAAAAGAATACCTAGCTTGCTGATTTGTTGTAAAAATTAGAGGTAGCAAGCGTTGATACAGGAAAGTGATTTTTTTAGACTATTGTGGATAAATATCAACAGATGTTATGAACTAATTGGCTTGAATGTGTTTGATAATATAGGATGCTGTATCTATTCTAATTTTGTATTTCGTTGCTGCTTTAAATTTACTGAGAAACTACTCTTTTCATAGCTTTGACCCTTTTATACACATATTTGTAATCTTGAGCAACCAATATTGATGGATCTCTGCTGTGAGAGAGATGGTCCTTTAAGGAAATGTCATAAATACTTGATTTTGATGTTTCTATTTTTAAAATTTTGCAGTATTCACGGTAACTAGCCAATTTTAAGATATGAATACTATGTCAAGGATTTACTTTTTCTAACATTTAGTACTTGGAGTGGACAGAATGTATTTTAAGAAAAGATTTCTCCCTGTCTTAGTTGTTCCCCTTTGGCCTGTGAAGAGTGGAACAGGAGTTACACAAATAGAGATGATTGCCTCTCCATCCTGACAAAGTATGATAAAGACCACCGAAGTGTTGTACGCAAGAAAGCACAGGATGGCTGGGATGAGTGAACTATGTATCCCAGGTTTTACTTAGGCCTCAGCATCCAGTGGTAACCCTGTCAATTCTTTGCTCTCTCTGATCATTTGCAAGTATTGAGAGGAAGACACTATTTTGGGGTTAATTAGAATCATACAGTATTTATCTTTTGTGACTGGTTTATTTCATTGGTTTAATATCCTCAAGCTTCATCCACGTAGCAGTATATGCCAAAATTTCCTTCCTTTTTAGAGCAGAATATTTCATTGAATGCATGTGTCATATTTGGCTTATCTATTCATCTGTTGATGGACAATTCCATTGCTTTCATGTTTTAGGTTTTGTGAATAATGCTGTTACTAACATTGGTTTACAAATACATTGCTGAGACCCTACTTTCAGTTCTTTTGGTTATATACTTAGAACTGGAATTGCTGAATCATATGGTAATTCTATTTTTTAATTTTTTGAAGAACTTCCACACTGTTGCTCTAACTTCTATTATTTATTTGCTTCTGCTAGCTTTAGGTTTAGTTTATTCTTTTTATGGTATCTTAAAGTATGAAGCTAAGTTACTAACTTGGAATCATCCTTTTTTAAATTGATACATAATATTTTACATGTTTATGGGGTATATGTGGGTACATTTCTTACACGCATAGAATGTGTAATGATCAAGTCAGGGTATTGGGAGCGTCCATTGCCTTGAGTATTTATCATTTTTGTGTGTTGGGAACATTTCGAGCCCTCTCTTCTAGCTACTTTAAAATATATAATGCACTGTTGCTAACTATAGTCACCCCGCTCTGCTATCAAACATTAGAGCTTATTTATTTTAACTGTATGTTTATACTCATTAAATAATTTCTCTTCATCCTTCCTCCCACCCACACTCTTCCCATCCTCTGGTATCTGGCATTTTATTAATCACTTTCATGATTTTTTTTTTTTTTTTGAGATAGAGTCTCTCTCTGTTGCCCAGGCTGGAGTGCCATGGCAAGATCTCGGCTCACTGCAAACTCTGCCTCCTGGGTTCAAGCAAGTCTCCTGCCTCAGCCTCCCAAGTAGCGAGAGTTACAGGCATGCGCCACCAGGCCTGGGTAATTTTGTATTTTTAGTAGAGATGGGGTTTCACTATGTTGGTCAGGCTGGTCTCGAACTCCTGACCTCAAGTGATCCACCCACCTCAGCCTCCCAAAGTGCTGGGATTACAGGCGTGAGCCACTGCACCCGGTCGAGTTCTACTTTTTTAGCTCCCACATATGAGAATATGTGGTATTTGTCTTTCCTGTCCCTGGATTGTTTCATTTAACATAATGACCTCAAGTTTCATCTATATTGCTGAAAATAACATAATTGCATTCTTTTGTATGGCTAAATAGTATTCCATTGCGTGTGTGTATATATATAAATCTATATATATATATTTATATATACATATATAACAACATTTATGTTGTTCCTCTACATGGGTCATATTTCCCAATTTCATTTTATGCCTTTTTTTTCTTGTTGTTGTTAAAAATTGGGCATTTGAAAAAAGTGGACACTTCTCCCCATCTTTGCAAACTGATGTGGAAGACTGTTACTACTTAGTGGGCCCACCTATCCTTGACATTAGCCTGGGTTGAAGTCTTAATGTCTTTTCAGATCCTTTCTGGGTATGCATTCTGTCTGGGCCTCTGTGTGTGTGTGTCTGTCCCTGTGTGTTTCCAGGCTTGTTTTAAGTGTCTTAATTTCCCAAAATATCTCACTCTAGCTTTTTCTAGGGGGTTCTAAATGTTCTATTGCATTCCTTGGCCTGTAATCTCTTCACTCTAGATGTTCAATGGTCTGAAGTGCCTCTGTGGTTTTCATATACTACAGTAAGTACCACGGCCTTCTATGAACTGGAGCTTCCTAATCCACCCTCTTGCTGACATCACACTAAATATTCACTTTTGTAACTACTTTTATATTTCAAAATTTGCATCCCTTTTCAAAAAATAGGTTATACACCAAAGTGTGTGAGCGTTAGGCCCCTGAATCTGAATCTACATCTGGAAGTAAGAAGAAAGAAATTTTAACTGTGAAACAAGTTTGAATTTTCGTTATTTACATGAATTGCAAAAACAAGTCATTTATATCTAAAGGTGATAAAAGATTTTATTTTTATTTTTTGTTTTATGAAATCAACCCTCCTATCCAAAGTAACAGAAATAATCTATTCAGAGTCATGGAAAAAACAGAGTGGGCTGTTGGAATTGGAAAGAAACAAGTATGTGTGTGATCTATCTCTATCATCTATCTATCTATTATCTATCATTTACTTCATGGCTTAGTGTATGCCCATATATGTCCTTTAAAGGGGGAAATAATAATATTTAATCTGAGAACGTATTTATAATTTTGACAAGTGTTTGTGGACACTGGTTTTATAGTTAGGTAGACTTGAATTTATCCTAGGTCTGTTTTTGTTCACTCGGGAAAGTTGCTTATCCTCTAAATAACCTTGGTTTTCTCTATCTGTAAAATGACATCATAGAACATGTTTTAGGGTTGTGGTAAGAACAAAATGAGATAATTCAAGTAAAGGTTTTAGCATAATGCCTGACATGTAGAAAACACTAGCATTCAAAAAGGAGTCATTATTATCATTTTTACTATTACTTATTAATACATACTTGGAGAAGCAGGTAGTTTGGTGCTCTTACATTATCACTGAATAAATTGAGGCCAAGAGTTTAAATATTTTGTTCATAATTACTTAGGAATTTATGAGTATACCTTTAGCTTGTAAACTGTAGAAATTATTAACATCTTTGCCTTTCCATCAGTTCATTAAGAACTGCAAATTATAAATGTTTCTGGACTCTAAGCTGAGTATGCAGTATCTTATGAAAACATCAGGCAGGTGGGGTTGGATTTGGTATTTTTTCTAAGAATTTAGTCCCTTTATTGCTCAAATTACTGGAAAATCAATGACTTGTGCCAAACAAATTGTTTTCTTTCTCTAGACAAAAAGCAGATCAGCAAGTTTTCATATTGCACTATTTTCAATGGCTGGAGCATCAACATTTTACAACAAGAAAAAAATTAAAATTCTTCAACATTTGGAAAAGAAGTGTTTGTAAAACTTTTCACATCCATTCACCATCCGGAAAAGCAAGGTTTTACAGTGAGGCCTGATGATGTCTAGAGTCACCATGCATCTTGGAAAATGACCTCCTATTTATTTCTTCTACAGGACACCATGGTGTTCACCTTTCTACAACTTTACACTTGCTGAGGACATATTGTGGAAAATTAAGAGAAATATATATGGATGGCCAAGGCTGTAGATGGATGTCCAAGCCTTTTTACTGGGGAATGTTTTCAGAACAAAATGAGTTACAGGTTCAAGAGTGAAACCCAACAAATCTTGGCTCTTTTTTTCTCTACTAAATTCCAAATCAAAAGTATTTATGGAGTGCTTTTAATGTGCCACGCACTGGGCTAGAGATTCATAATTTTGATGGGAATCTGTGTATTCAAACTCTTTTAACGTGGAAACCTTGCTTGTGCAAGGTCCTCCCAGATCTTATCCTACTTTATCAAAGCTTGGCTAAATGCAACATGTCTTCTCCCCAGTGCCCTGGGTCTCTGTACACGCAGTAAAGTGGTCCTTAGACATATGCTGAAATAGGGCTTAATTTTCCCCATATACGAATGAGATAAATTCTACTACATGTAGCCAGACTTCGATAGGGAGAACACCCAAAGTCACTTAAAATAAAACTACACTTTCATTTTTGCAAGCCAAATAATCCTGGAGGAAATTGTGCTAATTTTTTTTTCAAATTTTCAGTTTACACATTGGAGTTTTGACTTCAATATGTAAAAAGTGCATGAAAATGAATGTAGTGCATCTTTCCTCATATGCTCTGCAGTGATGCGAACTGACTGCATGGCTAGCTGGTCACCTGATAAAGGGCACACAGAGATTCTTGTAGTTCATTAGGGATTACTCCGAGGTTGAACACAGGTTTTTCTTTTTCTCAGATATATAGGTAAGACTTGAACTTCAATTTCCTGCATAGTGAATATGGTTTCTATTGTCATGATTGAGCTTTTTTCATTTTAAACACTGAGAGCTTCTTTTGAGTTTGTGGGACCCACGCTTTTGGGCAAAGACTGCTTTCTCAAGGCACATATGTTCAGATGTTCAGGTCATGATGCAGAGGTATCAGCTGGGAGGTGCCCCAGGTAAGTTTGCTACTAAACTTCACCCACCCTCATCTGAGAGGCCACGTCTCTTCCCCTGAGTCTGGGGATCATGACACTTTATATGTCAGCTACTTTCTTTTTTCGTTTTATTTTATTTTATTTTTGAGATGGAGTCTCACTCTGTCTCTCAGGCTGGAGTGCAGTGGCACAATTTTGGCTCACTGCAACCTCTGCCTCCCAGGTTCAAGTGATTCTTCTAACTCAGCCTCCCAAGTAGCTGGGATTATAGGTGCACGCCACCACACCCAGCAAATTTTTGTATTTTTTTTTTTTTAGTAGAGACAAGGTTCTGCCATGTTGGCCAGGCTGGTCTCGAACTCCTGCCCTCAGGTGATCCGCTCGCCTCGGCCTCCCAAAGTGCTGGGATTACAGGTGTGAGCCACTGCACCCGGCCACATCAGCTACTATTTAATGAACATCTTTCCCTGGACAAGAACAAAACTCAAAGAAATCCAACAGATTGCAACTTAGTCCTGGGGAGAGAAAAGTCCACATGTTAAGCAGAAAGCTGAACCACATAGAATTCAACCTTTGGTGCCGCTAGTGTTGACAAGGAAGGATAGATTCTCTGAGCTAGAGTAATAAAGAAAGAGAAATGAGAAACTAGTATATCTCCAAAGGTTCTCAAAGTATTATTCCTGGACCAGTAGCATCAACATTCCCTGAAAATATGTTGGAATTAAAGATCTCAGCCTCCACCCAGACTTACTGAATCAGAAATTCTGGAGCAGGGTCCACTAATCCTTGTTTTAGTCTTCTGGGTGATTCTGATACACACTCAAGTTTGAGACCCTCTGTCTAGCTACACCATGCTCTTTTTACTTCAACTCATTATCCCCACAACATGATGCCATAATATAGGAGATTACATAGTGTCAGGCTTTGCTTAACTTAGGCTAAGTCTTTAGATAGATACAAAGAGGTCATTCAATTAGTGGTACCTATTGGATAGGGCTCTTATACCATCCATTTTGTTCCGGCAGTTCTTAGCTCAGTTCCTGGGACACAATAAATGATTAACAAATAGATAACTAGTTATTGAATGAGTGTGGATTGATGAAGTTTGAGTATACACACACACACACACACACAGACACACACAATGTGAGCCATACAAGAGAATGAACGGGAAAGCAAATTTCTTCTTGAATACTCATAAAATCAGCTTTTAATACCAAATATTATTTCTTTAGGCCATATCCCACTGGAGCCTGAATTGCTACAATAGCATTCTGGAGATTTTCCTCCTTTCTAGTATTGGCCTATCCTAATGTATTACATAACTAGCTTTCTGGAAAATATTCCTCAAGGATCACTTGCTTGCATAACTTACTTTAGAAATTCTTCAGTGTTTGAGTGTGTAGTTCTTTCTGTGCTGTGTGCCCATTGTATCTTGTGAATTCCTGTCTACTAAGGTAAATATCTGTCCACATGTCTCATTCCTTCACTAAACTAAGAAATCACTGTAAAGAAAAATGTATTAGTCTGTTCTCACACTGGTGATAGAGACATACCCATGACCAGGCAATTTACAAAAGAAAGAGGTTTACTGGACTTACAGTTCCACATGGCTGGAGAGACCTCACAATCATGGCAGAAGGTGAAAGTCACGTCTCACATGGCAGCAGACAAGAGAAGAGAGCTTGTGCAGGGAAACTCCCCTTTTTAAAACGATGAGATCTCATGAGACTTATTCACTATCATGAGAACAGCATGGGAAAGACCTGTACCCATGATTCAATTACCTTTTACTGGGTCCCTCCCACAACAGGTGGGAATTTAAGATGAGATTTGAGTGGGGACACAGCCAAACCATATCAAAAAATAATTTATTAATTACCTTGTATGATTCTTTTTCCTATTCCTGGGATTTAGCACTGTTCCTAAAATGACTTATAAAAATATTTCATGTGTATTTATGTATAAGTACCACACACTAACAGATTGCCCCACTGGAGCACCCAATTTGTGTTTATTTAATCCGTGAAAACGATTAGTTCCTGGCCATGAAGTTTATGCTCCTCCCATAATTTTATGCCAGTTTTTCAGCCTTGTGAATTTCCTCTTTTATCCATCACCTCAATTATTGTTTTTACAGGTGGAGTCTCACTATGATGCCCAGGCTGTACTTGAACTTCTAGGCTCAAGTGACCTTCCCACTTGAGCCTCTGGTAGCTGAGACTACTGGGGTGTGCCACCTTGCCTGGCTTCTCCTCTCACCTTTAGCTCAACAAGTCCTCTTGGAGTCCTCCTCTTACTCAAGCAGTGCTCAAGCCACCACTGGGTCATACTTTACATACCTTAGGGTGGCACTGTATTTGAGGGTTCACATTTAAATGTGCCAAATGCATGCAAAGCCTGGTTTACATTTAGGAGCTTTATATTTTTTTTGGCTTAAGGTCTGGTCTATCTGGTCTATATGAAAAATAGACTTCTTGAGCAGCCCCACCCTTTCTCACTTACAAACTTGTTCATAATTGGGCTTTAAATAAATAAATATTTACTTACTTATTTACTTAATGAGGTTGACAGCTTGGTGAGATGTTTGACAATGATAATTTCAATAATTTCTGTCATTTTTAGTTCCAAGAGGAACCATCACCCAGTTGAAACTGTGAACCTCTCTCACAAAGTCTAAGTAGCCCTTGATTCAAGCTATGGGCACCAGTCTCCACATAATCTACTCAGAAGCACTGTAGTGTGGAAATTGGCAATGTCTGCCTTCTCCAAATCATTCAATAGAGTTTCAGCTTTTCTCAGGCATTCTGCATATTTATAAAAGTTAGCTCGATGCAGTATTCCAATAAAACCACCAATTATATGCCTTTCAAAGGATGTCATCTTCTGAAAGCGTTCCACATGGCTATAATCTTATTACCTCTGGTTGAAGTAGTCACAGACCAAACTAAACGGTGAGTAGAGATTGGTTATAGGGATTATTTTTCCCATCAGAGTCAGTGTAAGTGACTGCCCTCTCCCTTGTGGTATGTTTCAGTCCTGACTTGACTAGTGAAGCCACTCCTACAGATTTCAAACTCTTTGCCAGGGTAGGAAAACACAGGTTGGCTTCACTTCATCCTCAGCCTCCTAACTTCCTTTTAAGTAACCATGAGATATATTTAGGAACTGCTGGTTTCTGAGCTAATACCCATGAGGCACCAAGGCAAAAAAAAAAAAAAAAGGCAAGTTAAACACACTAAAACTGCTGGCCATCTCTTAACCATTCATTGCACATGTAAATTTCACTTGCATTTTTTCTTTTGCATTTGCTGGTACTATTTTCACTTTTATATCCTAAATTCGTGTGGTAAGAGGTCCTTTTAAAGCATAAGGCAAAGTAGCATAGGGTGGAAAGTTACAGATTTTAGAGAAAGGTAGACATGGCTTTGCAAACTAGCTCTATTACTTATTACATCAAGAATCCCAGAGAAGTTTCTTCTCTAATCTTCCTAAATGTTCTTATGTGTATATTAAGGGTAATGATTCCTATCTTACAGTATTAATGCGAATTCACTGAAGATTCATTCATTCCCCAAATGTTTATGTGCCCTTACAGGAACTGGACCAAGGGAAGAGGACACAGAAGGTAAAAGGAAGCCAGACCAGCATGTTCTCCCACTCTAGTGCTCCTACCAAGAGGCTTTGATAAGCAATCACAATTGTCCCCAGTGACATGAAAGAAAAAGTGAAGCACCCTGTAGGGATGCATAGCATGACATCTACGTAGACTTGGGTCATGGAAGGAAACTGTCACCACATACAAGTTCAAGGGAAATGTTCAGCCTCCAGGGTAGGCAATCCCTAATTTATAACTCTTTACCTGTTGCTAGACATTTTGACTGCGTGTGGAAGAATAAGGAGTAGATAGCTAGACAGAGAAGCTTTTGGGAGAGAGCAGGAAGGAAAAGAATACAGCATGAGAAAAGATCTGAAACACTCAAGAAAGCCCAGCAGGGCTATATGGTAAACAGCAGGGGATAGACTTGACCTGAATGCCAGAGGTGTGATATGTTCTCAATTAACGAAAACTATATTCATCATTCAAAAACTGTGCATTAATTGACTTCTAGAAAGTAGGCAGTGTTCTGGTTAGTAAGTGGTTTGGAAGTGATTTTTTTAAAAACTTTTTTTTCCTAGAAGATATCTAGCAGAGCCTTCCTGCTGAAGGTAAAACCTATTAAGTATAATATATATCTACATATTTATATATCTATATATATCTATATATTTATATATCTATATATATAGAGAGCGCCTGAAATCAGATAGTCATATATATAGACATATATATATACATATATGTATGTGTATATATATGTGTGTGTGTGCGTGTGTGTGTGTGTCTATATATATATATATATATATATATATATATATATATATATATATCCTGAAATCAGATTGTCCTCAAGCAAATGGTAGCTTTCTTTTTTTACATTTTACTTTTTAGTATTGGCCAACATCTCCACTCTCCCCATGGGACACTTGAGTCCAATCGTTATTATAAGATGTTAGACCTACTCTCTCTCCAGGACAGGAAAATGCCAGTCACCATGGGCAAGAGCTTTTGGCAGCTTTGCAGCCTTTAAATGCCTCATTTTGAATAAGCAAGGCACTTTCTGGAAAGATTTAAAACCATGTTCTATAAGTTGCAATTAGTGGCTTCCCACAAATTGCATATCACTGCAGCAAGTGAGGTCTCTCCAGAGTGCTTTGCTAACTGGCTTACAAGATTGTATGTTATTGTTCTTTAGGGGGAAAATATTTTCTCTTTTCCTTTTATACCCACTCACTTAGATACATATCATCATAGGTATTTACTGCAGCGGACTCTGGCTGTGTGTTTACAAGGCCCCCAACTAGGGATTAACAAAAGTAACACGGCATGTCACCTTTCAAAGATATTTTATTTTCTTGGCGGGAATGTTTTTCCATTTCATTTTCAGTATGTAGGTGACTCCTAACCTACACTAGTTTATTGCCTTACTTAGAGTAAATAAAGATGCCTGATAGCGAGGAAAACATATTTACAGCAGTTAAATATGACATTGTTGCCAGTGCTGAGCCAAGCTGATTTGGGTTCAGACAATAAAAGCAAAGCATAGCAAGGTAATATGAGAAGCTGATTGTTGTGGTAGCAAAAACTTTGAATTGCACCTATGCAGTGAATTCATACCTTTGAACTAGGGGAAATTTTGTTAAAGCCTTTTTGCCTTTGCTAAACAGGTTTTGGGAAGACTTTAAGAGAAAAAGTGTTTAGCAAAGGCAAAGTGTGGTTTCATCATTTTAGGAAGATAGCTAGTTGATGTGACATCAGCATTCAGGTGGAAGCTGAGTATTTTGATAGGCAGCCTCCAAACAGAAGCTGCCCTACTGGTCACTGTTAACTAGGAATCAATTCAGGCATAGTGCAAGGGTGTAGGAATAATGACATTTATTGTTTTTTAAAAAAACAGACATAATAGATTTAGAAGCCTTAGCCACTCCCCAGCATTTGGATGTAGACAAATCACTGGAGTGCTTTAGGCTTCTATTTCCCTATCTTTGAAATGAAGGAATTAGAGAATCTTTAGTATCTTTTCTAATCACAAGACTGCAAATTACATGAATTCAAATCCCAGGTTATTCTGTAATTCTGCCTTCGGAATACCATTCACCTTCTGGACCTCAGCATCCTATATCCTAGAGTAACAATAATGTGTGTCTTATAACATTTTTAAATTAATTTAGATAACATATGTGAAAAGTTCTAGCAAAGGGCCAGACACATAGTAAATATCTCAATACCTTTCTAGGAGCCTTGTTGATAATGGCTTGATTGAAAAGAAAAAAAAAGTTAAGACAATGATTAGGGGATTTTCCAGTCAAAGATTTCTGTACAGATGTGCCTTGACTTATGGTGGGTTCGTGTACCAATAAAGTTGAAAATATCTTAAGTCAAAAATGCATTTAATATACCTCACCTGCCACACATCATAGCTTAGCCTAGACTACCTCAAATGTGCTCAGAACATTTCCAATATCCTACAGTTGAGCAGAATCACTTGGCAACACAGTACACTGTAGAGCATTTGTTGTTTACCCCTGAGATGGCGGGGCTGACTGGAAGCTGTGCTCACCACCGCTGCCAGGCATTGAGAGAGAGTATGGTACTCATATCATTAGCCTGGGAAAGGATCAAAATTAAAAATTTGAAATGTGGTTTGTACGGAATGCCTATCACTTTTATACCATTGTAAAGTCGAAAAATTGTACCATAGTATGCCAGGGACCATCTGTATTTTTAGTAATTTTGCTTGAAAACAACTTCTGCGTACCAGACAGACCCCTACCTAAGGAAATATTTTTTCATTACCAACATTTGAGCAGGTTAGCAGAGGTGAGAGATCTGAATACAGAAGTGGAAACAACATTAGAAACAGCCTTGGAGGACATCCAGCAGCCCATGCAAGTGGCAGAATGCTCATGGACAAGCTGAGTTTGTAGGGAAACTGCAATTAGATAGACAGGAATTGACGTCCAGATTTGAGATGTGTGGAATCTGTGGGCATGATGTCATTGGTTTGTAGGGTTTATGCTCCATTTGTCCTTACAGAGGATCCCAGGAAAGAGCATAGTGTGAGGGAGGTCATGGGATTAAGGTGAGACATTGTGGCAGAGAACCATCTTTTCATCAAAACTGTGCACTCTTCCTTCCATAGTGTGGAGCGTGTACAGGAATGAAGCTGCTCACCCAGGACTTATGCTTTGCACCTTTGTGCTCCTCACATATGGCCATGTGCCCGTCCCCCCGTCCCCCACCCCACCAATGGCATCTGTGCAGAGTGATATGCGCCACTTCCAGGCTGGATATTTACACTGTGGTTACCTTCTGTCCCTTTTCTCTGCATCAGCCGCTGAATGAAGCTCTGCCCAGGCCTTAGGAAAAGGTGAAACCCCAACTAGCAGGGGCCCCAGTTCACCATATCCAGGAAGGTGTCCTTGAACCAGAAATACCCACGTTGTACTCCGACATGAACAAGAAATAGATTTCTATTATATTAAGCAACAGAAATTTTCAGATATATCAGTTCTCGCAGCAGGAAGGATGTATTGATAATGGCAACATGGATGGAGCTCAAAACATCACATTTAATGAAAAAAGAGACTTACATAAAAAAATTATAGACTATATTATTACATTCAAATGAAGTTCAAGAACAAGCAAAAGTTGTGGAAAAATATCAGAAAACTTGCTTCTGCTGGAGGGGTAGGATGGGATTTGACTGGGAAGAGGCCTAGGGGAACATGCTGGAATGATATTAATGTTCTATTTCTTGATGGAGGTTTGGGTTCCACAGGTGTATGTATTTGCTAAAAGTTAGCAAATGTAGAGTTAAGGTTTGTGTTCTTCCTTGTGCAATACATTTTACACCAAAGGAAAGGCTGTAAACAAATATTGAACTGTAGTTAATCATATGTATGGAGAAAAACTTAAGGAAAAGACTTATGAATGCCTCAAGTTTATTTAAAAAAGCATTAAAAATAAGATTAAACAGGTATTTATGGATAAACTACTGAAACTGAGAGATATTAACAGTAAATAGTCAAAATGTTCACTGTAAGAATGAAATTGAAAGGGATTTGAACCCAGGTCTGTTTCACTGTAAATCCTTGCTCCTGTGCTCTCTCATGTTTATTGGAATTCATGGGTAGAAAATTTAAATGCTCTGAATCACTATGAGAAGAAAGATTCAGGAAAAAAAAATGAAAGGCTAGATTTCCAAAGATAAGCCAGGTAAATATCATGGAGAGTTGCAACAATGTACTGCTAATTAACTCTAATACTTAGAGCTAATGTCGAGTTTTCTGAGGGTTGTGACATTCATACATGACTAATTAACCTACACAGCAAATCCATTTCACTAGCTGCCATGACACAGCCAATCAAGACTAGCTCACTGTTTGCTCATTTGGAAAATGATGAGGATTCCCATTTAGACTTAATTACACTACAAAGATTGACAATTATCTTCTCTATAGAAGCATCAGATGTTTCGATATTATACTGAACATGTGCCTATAATTATGTCCATAATTTGTCTAGCAGAAAATGTAACCCAGTCATTACTGAGATCTTATGCCTGTAATTAGATATCAAAAAAAAAATACCAAATGGGAAAAGTGGGTTGTTGGGATGTTAGGACCATTACAATGTGAGAATCTGTATGAAGCTATTAGTGGGAACTCAGTAGCAACCAACATCTCTTGGATTGCTGCCCTCTATTAAAAATAATCAGGAAGTGTGAGAGAGGGGAAAATGATGGCAGAGTAAAACCATAGTACAATCGCTTTTCCAATACTTGACTGCAGTCATTAAAAATCCCATAGGCACCTCAAATTCAACACATTTGAAACCGACTCATTAGCCACCTTTGCCCCACTATAGCTACTCCTTTTCCTGTGTTTGCTTTCTTAGACGATTGCAAAGCATTGTAGAGTCATCTGCAACAATTGTTCTCTCACTCCTTTCTCCTAATCAAACCTCCGTGATTCTGATTACTAATTTTTTCTAAGTGTGTTGCTCCTCTCTATGCTGTGACTCTTCCATTGTCTGCCTTCATCATCCTTGTATGGTCAATTTCAAGAGCACGTATAAGAACGGTGCTGCATCTGAATGTTCACTCATAAGTGGGAGTTGAACAATGAGAACACATGGACACAGGGAGGGGAACATCACACGCTGGGGCCAAGCGGAGGGAGAGCATTAGGACAAATACCTAATGCATGTGGGGCTTAAAACCTAGATGATGGGTTGATGGGTACAGCAAACCACTATGGCACATGTATACCTATCTAACAAGCCTGCATGTTCTGCACGTGTATTCCAGAACTTAAAGTATAATAATAATAAAAGAAGAATGGTGCCGCTTTCCTCAAATGTCTCCACCGTGTCACTTATCTTCTGAATTTCTCCCAGTATGATCATCTCTAATCACGAATCTCATTATGCCACTCTGCCATTCAGAAGAGTTGAGTGTGTCCACCTCTTTCCTAACAGCATTTGGCAGAACACAGAAAGTATGTTTTGTTTTTCATTGAATTTTGTGCCAGCTTCACGCTGGCCTGCCCCAGTCTGTAATTTAGGCTAGCTCCATTATATGGTTTACTAATTATGTAATGTGACATGCTCATTATTTCAGTTATCTCTTGCAGGACAACTGGCTACCCCAAAATTTAATAGCTAAAAGCAATCATTTTTATTTTGCTAATGATTTTTTGGGGTAAGGAATGTAGAAACGGCTCCAAAGGGTGGTCGTTTCTGATCAATATTGCATCAGCTGGGGTGGAAGAATCTTCTTCAAAATAGCTTCTTTACTCACATCTGGTGCCTTAGGGCTTCTTGACCTCTCTCTCTCTTCATGTGGCTTCTCATCCTCCAGGCTTTCTTCACTTGGCTTACCTTCTTGCAGCAAGGGTATCTAAAAGAAGTCTCACTTTTTACACGGAAGCTAGATTCCAAGAGGCAGGCAGTAGAAACTGCGCAGCTAGCTAAAGGCTATAACAGAAAAAGGCATGGCAACACTTCTACCATAGTCTATTAGTGAAGGCAGTTCCCAAGACCCTCAGATTTAAGAGCACAGAGAAATAGATCCCAATTCTAGATGGGAAAATGTCCAGGTCACGTTGAAGAAGAGCACATAGGGCAAGAGACACTGTTGCACCTGTATTTGCAAAAGTAAATCTATATGCATGCTATTTCATTCTTCTAAAATACTGAGTGGCTGTAGCTCTCAACGCTAATCGCTCTGTCTATCCTACTCAAATGCACTTCGGAGCAATTGCTCAACTTTGCACATTCTCTACGCAACCTCTCTCCAAAATGCCCCTACAATACTTAGTGTAATCTCTTTTATGTTAGAGTGGAACACCATTGTCTATTTACTGACATATTTATCTCTCCCGCCAGAATATAAGGATAAGCTCATGTCTTATTTACTTTAGAATACCTTTTGTGTAACACAGATGCTGGCATATAGTAGATATTAAATACATGTTCTATTGATCACAAGACTAATAAAAGGAATAAATAAATTGTCCTATTCATACATGTATTATCTATGCCTGGGGTACTTCCTGGAACAAGTTTAGTACCTGGTGATTATCAGCTTCCAAGATGGCCCCCAATAGTCTCCACCTCCTGAATTCACACTCTTTGTAGTTCCTTCCTGCATTGTGCCAGAGTTGGTCAATGTGACCAACAGGATATAGTAGAAGGGATGGTATTATGCTATAAAAGACGTTCAATTTTTATCTCTTTCTCTCTCATAATTCACCCTGAGAGAAACCAGCTGCCTTGTTGCAAGCAGTCCTACGGAGAGGCCCACATAGTGAGAAACTGAGGCCTTCTGCCAACAGCCAGAGGAGGGAGCTTGCAAGCAGACCCTCCAGCCCCAGCTAAGCTTCAGGTGACTGTCCAGGCAACGGCTGGAGTAAAACCTCACAAGACGTCCAGAGCTAGAGCCACCCAGCTCAGCTGCTCCCAGATTTCTGACTCTCAGAAACCATGTGAGATAATAAATGCTTGCTGTTTTAAGCTGCTAAATTTTGAAGTAGTTTTTTACACAGCAAGAGATAATTATTTTATTTACTAATACATATTCGTGAATGCCATCCAACATAGAAAGAATGAAGCAGTTCCATTCTTCTTCTTGGATTTTTAGCTAAAGTATTTTGTTGTTACTACGACAGACACCTGGGTGGTAATTGCTATTTCAAGCTGGACACCTGGGCTTTTTCTCCACTACAAAGAACCTCTCAGTTACTCCCAGAGAAAGTAATGATTTCACTTCTTGGAGTAAGTGTTTGTGCTAATTAGCAGCATGACGAAATACAGCATGTCAAGCAAAAAACTATTTGTGCTTACCTTCCAACACATTCTCTTACAGAGAGGACATGATGCCAGAGAAATAAACATTAAACTACTGTACACTATCAGACTTTGCAATGTAGCCTTACTTCACTAGCTTTGTATTTCAATCCCTAATTACTAAACTGATAAGATTTCTGATTATTTTGGTTGAAAGAAAAAGCCCTCCTTTTGTCTCAACAAAATTAGAACATGAAAGAAAAAAATAAATACATGAAATTACCTAGAGAATATATTATTTATATCTGCTTCTAAGAAATTCAGCAGGGGATTTTTAAAATGCTGGATTAGTAATTTTATAATCTTTTATATTCAAATATACTTCCATGAAATGTTAGCATTTAAAATAATAGGGAAAATTCTATAAATTATAGACATAACCAAACATCACATTCAGGACTTTAGTAATTCTTTAGTTTGCACTAATCTTTTCAGCCATTCAGCTACTCATCAAACATATATAGAATGTCAGCTGATAACTGGTCAACAGTTAGAATCTTGGAGTGCAAGAAATTCAAAGTGTAGACTTCCAGCATGAATATGGCTGTTTAATCAGAATTTTTTCTTTTCTTCCTAGAAGTCATCTAAAATATACCAAAAAAGAAAAAAAAAAAACAACTTAGTACATTGTGTTTAGTGAAACTAGGAAACCAATCTAGTTCTTAGACCTCAAATACATGCACTTGCCATGGAATAGATAAAAATTGTGACCAAGTATGTTTGACGAAAAGTTTAAAATCCCAAAGAATAATTAATTGCTTCTATGAGGAACTCCATGAAGCCAAAATGCAAGAATTCAGAGAAGAGATAATAAATTTAGCAGAAGGATATGAAAGGTGAACTGGCAAATTTCAGGGGAAAAAAATGGGAAAATAAAGCTGTTACAGAAATCAAGATATAGTTGAAAGGCACCAAGATAGGATAAACACAGAGAAAGTCACAGTAAAGCCACAGAAGATAGAAAGAAGAAATCAAACATAAAAAGGGAAATAAACAGTCTAAAAGGTTTGGAAAGAAAATAATAAACAATACAATATAGACAAAGAATATCTAACATGCATATCATTAAAGTCCTTGAAGAAGAAAGCCGAACTGAATAAGACTAACTGTTAAATATATAATTCAAAAATACTTCCTGCCACATAAATACTATGAACCTACCTATTGAAAAGGCACAAAATATACCACGGAGTAGTTAATAGTTAATGCTAGAATATATACTGTGATATACCTTGTTGACATTGGTGGTTTTTTACAATAAAAGGAAGAATTTCTCTGGCAAACAAGGCGAAAGGTCAAGTCATGTGTAAGAGGAAACAAAAATCAAACTGAGTTCAGATTTATCCTAAGCAACATTCATTGACAGGAAACAGTGGAACAACATCTACAAAATCCTTAAGGAAAGAAAGTGTTAGACAAAGATTTTATATCCAGCTAAGCTTTCTTGGCTGGCAATTTTGAACATGGAATGTCCAGCAAATATTTACCCATTATCCCTTCTTGATGAAATTACTAGAAAACAAAACTTCAATGAACCAAGGAATGGCTGAGGAGATAAGACAAAAGAATTGGAGGTGGTGAATATATTCAATCCATTTTGATTGAGAAAGACTAAAAGAGAAGTGCATATGAGAATGAGAGCATAATGCACACTTCCAATGCCTTGACAATGTATAATAGAAATGATCCAACAACATGAATTAGGAAGAGAAGAAAGATGAGAGGTAAAGTAAGTTCACTGATTGCTTCATTAATCATAGCTGGGCTAGAAGTCATTTATTTATTACATGCTGATAGAGCATGTAATAGAAAATTAACTATATTTAGGTGTACAAAGTAAACCCAAAGAAAGATAAAATTATGGACTAAAATCTGGTGATAATAAAGAGAAAATTTATTATTGCTCATAGCAAGACTAATAGTTACTATCTAAAGAAACATGAATGTTAGCAAGATAATTGAATTCATCTGTATTTCATGATAAAATGAACGAAAAATAAGCAAAGGTATAGAATATCTAAATACCCTAATAAAAAAGTACACCTGATTGATATTAATCATACTTTGTATAATAAGAGAGAACATACCTTGCTGACAAATCACACTCAAAAGCTGGTTGTGTATTAATTAAGTCACCAAGTAAACCATAATAAATTCTAAATAATAAATATGCAGACAGCATTATATTATTATAATTCAATGACTATTAATTATAATAAAAAAATACTCCACCATTGGAGATTGATGAATTATTTCTTAATGAATTTTTAGTACCAAGGAAATATATAGCGTATAACCTCAGCTTATCCAGACAATTATAAAAATCAAAAC
The DNA here is from genome assembly GCF_000001405.40 of Homo sapiens. Classification (NCBI taxonomy): domain Eukaryota; kingdom Metazoa; phylum Chordata; class Mammalia; order Primates; family Hominidae; genus Homo; species Homo sapiens. The sequence goes on from NC_000015.10 coordinate 93,892,523, forward strand.
AGAACATGGGATACAACTAAAATCAAAAGAAAACTCAAAAGCTTTGCTATTCTTATCTTTAAACACTAAGACTTAACATCTGATGCAAGAAGTTAGAAAAAGACAGCAAGATGAACATAAGGAAGACAGAAAGGACAAATAAGAAATTAAAAAGTTAAAAATCAGTCTTAAAAAGAAGTAAAACTAGTCATGTGAAAGCTGATTTTTAATAGATTATCAACTAATCAAGACAAAAGAAAATATAAGCACATAAAATAAGTAACAACAGAAGCAAGAGAAATTTCGAAAGTCATAAGAATGATACTACTCGACTTTATGTAAATACATATGAAAATCTTGATCAAATGGAAAATTTTTAGTGAAATTACTAAAACTTAGTCCTGTGGGACTATAAAACATAAGTCCATTTTCTGTAGAAGGAACAAATAAAAGTTGTTAAAAAAAAACTACTCTGGGAAAAGTATCACTAGAGGAATTATATCACCATTTAAAGAATAATTACAATGTTATTTAAATTATTCTATAGTGAAGATGAAGAGAAAAATTTTCCAGATATTTCATATGAAATAAGCATTTTAGTTTTACTAAAGCTTGATAAATATTACAAAGAAAACTACAGACTGATATGGTTAGGCTTTGTGTCTCCACCCAAATCTCATCTTGAATTGTACCCAATCTCAAGTATTGTCTTTATAGCAGTGTGAGAACAGACTAATAAGCAGGCCCTATCTTTTTTAGGAATAATATAAGTATCATTTCACAGAATATCATAAAATATGTAATATTAACATATTCAATTATTAAATTAATATTAATAAACAGATTCGTGTAGAGCATTTAAAAATAATACTTGATGATCAAGTAGAGATTATTCCAGAAATGTAATGAGAGTATGATAGTAAAATCAAGAATCCCCATCTGGTCTATAGTTCTTCACTAAACTTGAACATGTGGTTGGTTATTGGCTAACCTTAATTCAATAATGACACTGTTCTTAGCATATCACATCTATTAATTCATTTTATTCTCAGACACATTCATTTTCCCATTTTATTCATGTAGAATGGAAGGCACGAAGAGGTTAAATTACTTGCCCAAAGTCACCCAGCTAGTAATTGCTCACATTGAAATTTGAACCCAAGTCTTCTGGCTCTGGAGACCATAATCTTATGAATTTCTTCACTTCTCTGGGACAAATAAATTAAGTATATTTTTCCCAACTTCCTAATGCTTATGTTACATACAGCACAATCAAACAGAAATGAGTTATCATGCCAGTGCCTAAGAGAGGCTGGTTATGTTTCTGAGGCACCTCAGAGGCCATCTGTGGTCCCACTGGCGATGATCTGAGCAAATTCCTTAACAAATGCCTAGCCACAGTAAGTCCTCTGTAAGTTTCGACTACATCACGATTGTCATGGAAGGATGGAGCAGGATGGTGTCTGCCTGCTGTGGATGTGTAAACTTCTATGCGTCATGCATGGTATCACAAGTTCATGAAAAGAAGCCTCAGAATCCCTGAGAAGTAGCCAAAGATCTTTGAGCCAAAGATCTTTATTTCCCCATATTGAGTCTGATACTCTTTTTCATGCCTCAAAAGAATTCAGTCAGGGTGTTTAGAAAAATTAATTATTCTACTAAATAGATGACAACTCCCCAATAAATGTGTTTTATAAGTACAGATATGCATGCATTTTTTTGCAAGATAAACATGTGCAATGTGAAAAAGTCAGAGCCTCAGAATTATTAAGGGGGAAAGCGAGCAACCAACCAACCAAGAGAGCAAGGTGATCAAGAGCAGAGATTGAGCTAGGAGCTTCCAGGACTTTCTCAAGGGAAGGCATTTTGTTCTCTACTGATCACCCTCCAGTGACTCCTAAAGCCTAATTCCAAATCTCATTTTTCTACAGGTGAATGTTTGCACAGAGAGTGACGGAACAAGATCCCCAAAGGAGAAGTGGTTAATCCTTTGCTTTCATGTGAGTGCTCAGGCTCTTGAGATTAATACCAGGATGTGTAAACTACACCTTGTCATTTGTATTCATGTCAGTTTTATTATGTTATTCAGTACTAATAGATTAGAATTCCAGAGCATTCCTCACTGGCAGTATTCCTGGGAAGTAGTAAAGACAGACAAGCATCTTCACATGCATAAAAAGAAGCTAATTCATATTTTTGCCTCCTGCTTCCTAGTGAAGAGTAAGCTCAGTCAAGTGTGTTTCTGATGTACACGGCAGGCACTGTGTGATTCCTTAGTAAACAGCAATTAGTGGTGACGATGGATGCTAATACCATATTAAAATAAACTTACAAGGCCAGCCCAACACAGAAGAGCATGGAAACTCCCTCTTGGTATGAGACAGAATGATCTGTATCTTAAACAACTGCACAGGCCTCAAAATATTACTCATCCAGGAAAATAGAAGGCTAAGTACCAAATATCCATTCTAATATTCTAAATAGAGGTATCACTGGGGGAGGATATATATTTTCAAGTTTTGGTTAATAATAAAAGTTAAAAAACAAAGAGCATCCTTCAGTTTTTAACTATTAACTTTATTAACTGGAAAAACATTCTCCTTCTTCAAATAGTTGGAGCAGGTGGTGTGGGAGAGTGGCTAACAGTGTGGCATTGGGACTCAGACTGACATGGCTTTACCCCTGACAAGTGGTGAAAGCTTAGTTTGTTGATTCCTGATCTACAGCAAGGATCAGATGAGACCAAAAAAGGGGCTGTGAACAATGCCTGGCAGATATCTAGTGCTCATTGTGTTTGTTTTTGTTAGCTCTCTAGTCACAGTTTTCATCTAACCAAAATGTTGCCAGATAATTCTCATCTTTATGGATAATTGGTAATCTGTTTCTCCTTTAAAATGTTTTCAGTGTCATGGCCGGGCATGGTGGCTCACACCAGTAATCCCAGCACTTTGGGAGGCCGAGGCAGGCGGATCACCTGAGGTCGGGAGTTCGAGATCAGCCTGACCAACATGGAGAAACCCCGTCTCTACTAAAAATACAAACTTAGTCAGGCATGGTGGCACATGCCTGTAATCCCAGCTACTTGGGGAGCTGAGGCAGGAGAATCACTTGAACCCGGGAGGCGGAGGTTGCAGTGAGCCGAGATCGCACCACTGTACTCCAGCCTGGGCAACAAGTGCGAAACTCTGTCTCAACCACAACAACAACAAAAAATGTTTTCAGCGTCAACTGTCAGAACCTGAGTAAGATCAGATTAAGAGAAGGCAGAGTGAGAATAGCATTCAATATCATGGTATGTTCACCATATGTACTATGCTTAGAGTGGTTGTAGGGGCAGTGGTGATGGTGGTGGTGAGAGGAGTATGGAAGACATACAGTTTGAGGTTGTTTTAGGCCGGGGGCCAATTAAAATTTAAGACGCTGCTGGAAGTCAATTCAAACAGCAGATTGAATTATTTTCTTTCTGATCAGATAGTTTGGGGTTCTGTGTTAACAAGAAGGATGCTCCTCCCTTAGGAAGGAGAAAACAGACTAGAGTAAGAGCCAATTCTACCACCTTTAAAGAAAGTACCGAATTATTCTTTTTAAAAAGGCTCATTGATGAGTTGAGGGAGACCAAACCAAACAAAACATAACAGAACTGTTGTCTCTCTGTTTTGGGAGGAGTGCCAGAGAAGGCTCAATACAATGGACTTTACTGCATCTAAGTTCCACGTCACGGCTCAGATCATTTGTCCCAGAGCCACATAAGCAGGTGTGGCTGCTTTTTGCTGATGGCTCTTCAGAATGGTCCCTTGGTGGCATCATCCCACTGCCTCCTTTTGTCCTGAGGCTTCATCGCTCTCTCTTCACTGGGAGAAGAGATAATGTCTGTTTTCAGATCTATTCATGAAATACCAGACTTGGCAGAGCAGCCTCCCTGGAGAACCTGATAATTAAGACAGTTGCTTAATTAGAATGATGATGTGTGTGTCTGCACTGAATGCCAAGCACTATAATTACACTGTGAACCTGAAATGTGGGCCCCAGGCACTTCAGGTCAGCTTTCTAGGTATTTGCTTGCTTCATGGGGAAGCAAGGGCTGCTCAGTGTTCCTAACACATTTTAAACACCTTAGGCGAGTTGGAATGAAGGTGGGTTTTGCAATCAGATGACCTGTCTTTAACTCACAGATCTGCCACTCACCAATAGTGTGATTTGGGCCAAATTTTAAAACTCCCTGAAGCTCAATTCTCTTTTCTGTTACATAGAATTGATTATGTGTGTATCATAGTATTGTTAGAAAGATTACATGAAATTATATTAATATAGTCCTCAGGAAATATTAGGACACATTCATTATTTGGTGTTTTCACCAGCGTAGTTAATTATAAACACTTGGATAAGTTTGCAGAATTTAGCAAATAAAAAATATAGATAAACAACAATTTTCTAGCATAAGTATATCCCAATTGACATGAGTCATACTTACATTAATACTAAAAATTATTTGTTGTTTATCTGTAATTCAAATCGTACTGGGCATCATGTATTTTATCTGGTGACTCGACATTTGAGGGATCTCGAAATCCTCTTTTTGAAATATTCGTTTATAGAATAACTGGGTGAACACTATCAAAGCTATGTTAGGTCTCTCAAGCCAAACTTTCAAGTTCTACTCAGAGTGCCCTGGCAGAAAACAAACCTCAAACTTTCCAGCTTTGGATATTCAAAATAGGAAAAATACCCAATGCAAACAGAGCCCTAAAAAACAAGAACTGTGAGTATAATGTTCTATCATTAAAAAAAAAAGATTTGTATTAAAAAATCATTTAGGAATTCCCCAAATCTGAGAAAAGCTCCTTTGGCCTGTTTAAACTTGTCAAGAACAATTATAATTGCCCATTCTGAGCCTTGGGAAGAAATGACAGATTCTTCTTACCTTAGCCAAAGCCCTTAAAGCCCCAAAAGGCCAGAACTGCACCAGAGATTGGGAAACTGCAGAACGTCTGTGTGTGTCTGCAGAGGGGTTTCTCTTCTTAGCACATTCAGTGAAAGTCTTCAAAGGCAAAAAGTTTCCTAGCTTAGACTCAAACAGATGGCCCTCTGCTTCTCTCTAAACCAGTATGCAAATTAGTATATCCTCTAAGGTTAGGGGTGAGAGGGGAAGGCATGGGAGAATGTAAGCATAATAATTGTCTCTCAGAGCTGTGAGAATTAAAAACAAAAAAAGATAATATATCTTACAGAAAACCTTTAGTACAGTTCCCAGCATACAAATATCACTACTAGAGAAGATCAGAGAAAGGCAGTTGGGAATAGGAAGGTCCTGGAGACGGGGTAAGGGGACATTGGAACATCCCCAGATACCTGTTAGGAAGCAAGTTCTGGGAATAAACACAAGGATGGGTTTTGCTTTGCCATACAAAGTTTTGAAAGCTAGAGGTGAGACACAGAAAAGCATTATGTACTAATGCTTGTGTACAAACGGGATAATGAAGAACTAGGGAAGGCAGAGGGCTTTACTAACCCTAATCCTCACTCTGTCCTAAATAAGTATACACTCTACATATACTCTCAGTGACCAAAAATGAGGGTAAATTATGATCTATGCATCCATTTAAAAGTACACTGTTAGGCAGAAGGAATAAATTCTAGTGCTTGACGGCGCAGAAGGTTAACTGTAGTTAACAATATGTTGTATATTTCAAAATAGCTAGAAGAAAAGATATGAAATGTTCTCAACACAAAGAAATGGTAAATATTCCAGGTGATGGATATCTTAAATACCCTGACTTGGTCATTACACATTCTATATGTGTACCAAAATTTCTCATGTCCCCCATAAATATGTGCAAATATTATGTATCAATAAGTAATAAAAATAGTAAAAAGGGTTTTGCCTGAAAACAAGGAAATAATTACAGTATTCAGTATGAATTTTGTAAATATATATATAAAAGGTTTCACTGGGCACTATTGGAAAAGGTACACTTTTGAAGAATGAGTATTTTTTGAGATGGTCACACTATTTTGCTAAATAAAAATAAACAATTGACAAAAAATTGTGTGTATAAAACTAAAAGGATAGACATCAACATGTATGTACCATGATGTCCTAGAGGTAGAAGGATTATGTGTGATTACATAAAGGATCACTTTTTATAACTTCATGTATTACAGATTTCCTACTCTGAATATTATGCCTTAATTTTTAAATTAGAAAAGATGGCATCTATGAAAAATACCATTAACATCCATAGATAATACCCCTCCTACATCCCCTCATAAAAATTTAAGATTTTGTTAGGGATTTGCTCATATGGAAAATAACAGACAAAAAAAGTAGGTTAGCTCAGGGCAGTCAGTGATGGAAAGTCAAACATGCCAAGTGGCCAGCATGGAGTAGAGTGTCAGGAAAGGTGGATGGAGGCAGAGTGTGGCCAGCACAGCCATCTCTACTCCTTTTTGTTTGTTTGTTTGTTTGTTTTTGAGACAGAGTCTCACTGTGTCACCCAGGATGGAGTGCAATGCCGCTATCTCGGCTACCTGCAACCTCCGCCTCCCGGGTTCAAGCGATTCTCTTGCCTCCGCCTCCCAAGTAGCTGGGACTACAGGTACACTACCACACCCGGCTGATTTTTTTTTTTTTTTAGTAGAGATGGGGTTTCACCGTGTTAGCCAGGATGGTCTCGGTGTCCTGACCTCATAATCCGCCCGTCTCGCCCTCCCAAAGTGCTGGGGTTACAGGCGTGAGCCACCGCGACGGGCCGCCATCCCTACCGTTTACAGACAGCGTCCATCTCACTGGTGGGTCCCTATGCAGTCCAACTTGCTCCACGTCTGAATGTCAGTCCTAGATACAAAGCAGAGAAGTTTAAAGTAGGGAATGGCTTCTTTTTTCCTTTTACAAAACATAATGATGGTAAGACACAATATTGGAGCTGGGATGAAGGAGAAGTAGATATAAAGATATGGAGGGGCATCCCTTAAGGGATATAAATAGTTTCACAGATGAAATGCCTAAAGGAGAGAGAGGAGAGACAGATGAGGAGACAATTATCTCAAAGGAGGAAAATGGTCAAAAGGCAAAGAATAATGTGTGTGAACTCTCCGGTGCATGGTAAGTACTATAAATATCTTAGTTGTACTAGTGTTAGTCAATCAAGTATTTGTAGTTGCTGTTCCTACAACGATTTTAACTGCTACTGTAACTACTCTCACTGCTATTAAGACAACTATTATAACTATTGTTATAACTACTACGTCTGCTAGTACAATAACTACTATTATGACTGCTACCACAGCTACTATTACTGCTGTCATGGGATCCTTGAGGTGTCGTTTCATCAGCCAGAAACCTCTGTTGCTGGCAGCACCTTCTGCCTGAGTATTGCTCGTGCCCACTGGGCTTGTTCCGCCCACTTGGCCCGGTAGGCTGTGCTTGGCTCCCGCCACCAGCCCAGATCCCACACCTGCCCAGGGAGAGCTAGGCGCGGAGCCGCAAGGGGTGTGTGGGTGAACGAGCGCAGGGACCGGCAACAGCCATACATACCGGCTGCTGCAGTGGGGCTGGCAGCTCCAGGCGCCAGCACAGTTGTGGCTCTGCGTGAGGCTGGACCAGATGGACGGCATGTGGATTCTGCTGTGGGCACCTGTTTGGATGAAGGGAACGAAGGTGGTGGCGCCTGGAAGCTTGAAGATGCCAGGAACCATAGAACCCCAAAGGGAGTGTCACAGCCCTGGCTCAGGGAGACCCTAGGTCTGGGATCCTCAAAGGAACACAGCTCTTTTCTCCTTCTCGTCACCCGCAATGTGGCAAGCAAGGGAGCGTGTTTCAGCCCTGTTTGTGTTAAAGCTCTTTTAGTACCTCCAGGCGGGTCCTGAGTTCTTGTCCTGCGTCCAGGGAGATGAGGTATTGCGGACAAATGGAGGCTTAGCAAGATGGAGAAGAGCTTTATTGAGTGGCAGAACAGCTCTCAGTAGACCTGAAGCAGGTAGCTCCTTTCTGCAGGAAGGTTGTCTCTCCTTTCCGCAGGAAGGTTGTCCCAACAAGTTGAGAAGACGCACAGTGGGCAGCTCCTTCCCGCAGCTGGTACTTCCGACTTCGCGTGACTCCGGCTGCGTCCGGGGAGCGGGGTTTTTATGGGTTCAGAAGGGAGGAAGTGCATGCTGATTGGTCCATGGGTGGCCATGGGCGGGCCTGGAAAAAGAACCATTAGTGCTCACTCCAGGCCACAGACTCCGACCGGAACTGACAGCGCGGCCTCCAGGATTGAAGCCATCCCTGGCTTGAAGGTGGGGCTTCACTGGGACCCGTCCCTTTCTGTCCAGTAGCCTGTCTTCCTTTTGCTGCCATCAACGTGCCCTCCACAGCACCCAGGCTGTTCGTTTTGAAGGGCGCCTCTAGGCCTGAGCCCAGCAGCCCACAGCGCCTCCTCGCCTCTCTCCCGTGCTCATCAGTGCCCAAAGTCCAGAGGGGGCTGAGGAGGCAGGGGGCTGGTGTAACAGCGCCTCCCTGAGCATGCGCACGCCTGGCCAGGTTGCAGCAGCACCCAGGCTTGGCCATCACTTTGCTCCAAAATTGAAGTGGGCACAGGGAGCAGGCAGAGGCCAGGAATGGGAGCAAGCAGGCACTGCTGAACCTGTGGGGTCAGGGGCTTCCTGGCCCCCCGAAAGCACAGGGATGCCTGGGTCTGCGGCGGCAGCTCTGCAGCTGTGCCCCTAGCACGGGTTCCCCACCCTTTAGCTCGGTAGGGGGCGGGACCCCTGCCTGTTCCCAGCTCCCCCCGCCCCGGCCCTCCACCCACCCTGGCTTTGCTGAGTGCGCAGCTCTGGCGGCACCTCCCCTGGTGCAGCCGGTGTCTTTGCAGCGGCCGCTCCAGACAGGTGGCCGGTGCCATCACTGCTGCTACTACAATTACTATTGTGACTACTTCTGTAACTATGGTCATTCTATTTTATAGGGTTGTTATGAAAGTCACTATATGTAAAGCTCATACATATGTGCTTGGCACACTGTATGCCCGTAATAACTCTACAGCATGTCTATGTGTCTATTTTTATTTATGTATTTTTCTTTTCTTTCTTCTTCTCTTTCTTCCTTCTTGTTTTTTGTTTTTTGTTTTTGTTTGTTTGAGAAATACAGGGTCTCACTTTGTTGCTTTATTGCCCAGGCTGGAGTGCAGTGGTGTGATTATGGCTCACTTCAGCCTCAACCTCCTGGGCTCAAGCAGTCCTCCCACTTCAGCCTCCCAAGTAGCTGGGACTACAGGTGCGATACACCATGCCTGGCTACTTTTTTTTTGTTATTTATAGAGATGGGTTCTCACTATGTTGTCCAGCCTGGTCTTGACTCTTGGGCTGAAGCAATTATCCTGCCTCAGCCTCCCAAAGTGCTGGAATTACAGGTGTGAGATACCACACCTGGCCTGTGTAGCGTGTTTACAAGTGGATTGTTTGAACCTTATTTTTATGGTAGCATTTACATACAAGGTTGTAGAGATATATTGGGAGAAAATTGTCTTACGGTCCTGAATGCCAGGGAGTTTGGATTTAAATTTTAAAGGAATCCATCAAATTTGTAACTAGGGAGTGAAAACTTATATACTGCTAGTTGAGGAAGACTAAATCTGACAGTAAAGTACAGCCTAAAAACAGAAAAAAAAAGTGAAATAGAAAATTTTATTACAATGCTATCATACTAGTTCAGGCATGAGCTAATAAAAGCCTGAAATGAAACAGGGACCATGGGGATTGAAGGGCTTGCATGAATATCAGCAGCAGCTTCAAGTGGAGAATCTTTCATCAGAAAAGGAGAAAAATAAGGTAACTCAAGTCCTCAAATCTGAGTGCAATAGACAATGGATATTCCCCCAATATGAAAGTATTGGTTAGTAAGAAAACCCATGAATTTAGTATTAAATACGTTCCCTTTTCAAGAACAGTCAGACTGTTAGTAGAAATGAGCACTCTCCCACCTGCAGATTTGGATTTGGAGAGTTATCTTTAGAGAAGTGATGTTTGAAATTGCAACAGTGATAGGCATCCCTGAAGAAGAGGTTATTGAAAAAACAGCAGAAAAGACAATTTACTCAACTTCCATACTTACCTGTTAAATGGAATCAAAACATATCTTTCAGGTTTTCTTGTGATTATTGAACAAATGATGCCTGTAGATCTTCCATACCCTTCAATATGCCACAAATATTATTGCCCTTTCCCACATTATAAAGCCAATTTCAGAGAAAAGTTCTATGAACGTCTTCAATCATTAAAATCTCCTTAAGATCTCACAGTTTTCAAATAGAGGTCATCATCCTTCTTCAACCCCATCAATATGAGTATATCTAGTCACTTGGAGGAAGAGGAACAGTTATTGAGTGCATACAATGTGCCAAGCACTTATGTATGAGCTTTACATACAGCCACTTTCATAACAACCCTATAAAATAGATTGGTCCTTGTAGTATTAGCAGTCATAAGAGTAATTGCAGTGATAGCAGTGACAGTAGTTGTAATAACAGTCACAATACTAGTTGTAGTAATAGTAACTACAAATCCTTGATAGATTAATAATAATATTACAATTAAGATATCAATAGCATTTACTATGCATCGGATAGTTCATATATGTTATCACAAATAATTATATAAAACTTTAAATGTGAGTATTATTATACTCATTTGTTAAATGAGGACATTCAGAATCAGATTAAATAACTTTCTACCAATTAGAGAATAGAGAGCTCAGGCCGGGCGTGGTGGCTCATGCCTGTAATCCCAGTGCTTTGGGAGGCCAAGGCAGGCAGATCATGAGGTCAGGAGTTCGAGATCAGCCTAGCCAACATGGTGAAACCCCGTCTGTACTAAAAATACAAACAATTAGCTGAACGTGGTGGCAGGCACCTGTAATCCTAGCTACTCGGCAGAAGAATTGCTTGAACCTGGGAGGTGAAGGTTGCAGTGAGCCGAGACCACGCCACTGCACTCCAGCCTTGGCAATAGAGTGAGACTCCATCTCAAAAAAATAAAAAATAAAAAAATAAAGAGAGAGAGAGAGAATAGAGAGCTCAAACTATGACTGTCTGGGTCTGAAGTTCATTGTCTTTGCAGCAAGGGATTTGATACTCCTAGATGAAAGCCCAAGGTTCAGTTTTTGTCTCACTGATTTGCAGTCTAAGGAACTCAATTTTATCAGTTTACCCTGTATCTATTAGGCTTTGAAGTTGTCAGTAGGAATCAAATGACAATAGTCTTGAATAAATTGGAAGAGTCTACATTAAGGTACCCTCAGGATGTATCTATAAAGACAACTGGCTTTTATCACTTACTTAAGGAAACCCTTCTTCTGGAAAGTAGGTCAAACTAGAATATGAAATAACAAACCAGAGACCTGCTGGTTGCACCAATAACTAGATAATAGAAGAAATTGATGTTCTTAAGAAATACCTCCATTGCTAAGATTTCTTAATAAGTATCTCATGATGTTTAGTTCTGTATAATTGAGAGTGATTCCCTAAATCTGAGCCCCTTTTCTCCAGCCAGGGACACTGAAAATGCCTGAAATAAAGCAGTGGCCTTGGGAATAGAAGGGCTGCCATGAATAGTAACAGCTGCATCAAGAGTAGAGATTTTCATTAGAAAGGGAAGAGACTGAGATAACTCCAAGTCCTAAAATCTGGGTGTAGTAGACAACGGATATTCCCCTAGATAGCCTGAAAGTGTTGGTTATTCTGTTCCAAGGAAATAGAATTTTATTCTGTCATTAACACCAGAACAGAATAGTGTTGATGACAGAATTCCACTTAAAAGATTCTATTCCCTTGGCGGTAGTTTATTGTGAATTTGCCATTACTTTCACTTTTTCACTTGAGATTCCCTCTCTTGGGATTTCTGAAAGGCAATCCTATGCTCTATCCTGAAAACACAGTGACTTCAGAATGACAGTCATTGTGATGAAAGCATCAGTCCCTCTTATTCTCTAAAAAGTGCAATGTCCATGTGGATCAGAAGAAAATATGCCCTGAAGTCCTAAGTAACCTAACCCCATAGAGATCCCTGGAAAGACTGATTGATTAGACTAAAAATGTATCGCTCCTCCCCTCTACCTAATCCCACATTTCTCAAGTAGATAGAAGCACACACATGCACAAGAAATGTGTGGGAATGAGTTTCTAGTTGATGGATGAAAAAAGAGGAGCTACTTGCATTAAGAATATTTGCCTTTTGGACATGTTAAAACACCCACTAATGCAACTTAGAGACTTAAAACCCCTCTAAAGAAGCTTTCTGATTTATGAGGGCAAAGGGGCCTCAATTTGTTATGCAGTTTAAATTCCAAACAAAATTTCCATCAACAACCTGAATATCTGAAAAGAATCTCAGGTTATGCATTTGGGGAACAGGATGATTAATACAAATCTTGCTGTTTTAGCACTGATGAGAGACAGACCCATGACTCTGAAAATCCAACAGCAAAGAGTCCATTTTGGGCCCTCTCTAGGGACAGACCCAGGACTCTGAAAATTTAGCAGGATAAGAGTCCATTCTGGGCCCTCTCTAGGGTGACTTTGAAAAGAAATACTGGTGCTGGCTTTGAGAAAGGCAGAAAGGACCACGGTTCTCTAATCTTCTTTCACTTATTTCAAATGGTTTCGATTTGCAGGGCTGCCTTCTGACTCTTGTTATTTTGCATTATAGTCCAAAGAGCAAATTTTCCCTCTTCTACCTCTGTTATCTTTTCTGAATTCTGCATTCCAAAAAAATAAATATAACCTTTTTTTCAATAAATTATCATTTAATATTAAAAAAGAAAATTGGTTATAGTCCTGATTCTATCATTACAAATTGCACCCTTGATGCTTTGGACAAAAGTACCCTTCTTGGCCTCAATCATATCATGATTAAAATAAGAAAATAATTTTCCATGTCTAATTTATTGTGTTTATTGTAAAATTTAATGAATTATTGTAGGAAACATTTAATATTACTTCTTTCCATAGCACATAGAATGAAACATTTAATATTACTTCATTTATAGCACATAGAATGATCTTACTGGTTTATACATCTATCTGTTCATCAGAAAGAGGTATCTCTATGTCTGTTCATTCTTTCATTAGTTAATTATTTCATGCACTTATCAATTGACAACTATGTATCTGCCAGGCACTTTTATAGGCACTGGGGTCTTTTCTGGGCTCCCCTCACTATCAATATAAAAGCTCCCCTGGGGTGATCTGGTTACTTTTATTACATGTTAATTGCTCACAAACTTGTATATCCAACAAAATTTCTCTTCTGTATTATAACCTAAGTGCTAACTAAGCATCTCCTCTTGACTATGCTTCAGGTAACTGAATCTTATGCCTAAAGATGCCTGAAGATGAACAAGGAGTCCCACAACTTTCTCCCCATTTGTAGACATTAGAAACAAACAAAATCCTGAGATTTATCGTTCACTTATTCCCATCTTTCACACAAACTCTCAAAATAAGGTCAATTAACCACCCAGTGCTGTCAATCTATTGCCTAAATATTTCTTGAATCTGTCCATTTTAATTAATTTTTACTACTACTACTACAATGATGCAGACCATCATAATTTGTCCCTAATTATACTGTAACAGGTTCCTAATTAATTCCCCCTGCTTCAGCCTTTTCCCCATTTTAATCCATCCTCCTCACAGTAGCCTAAGGAGATTTGCTAGTTTGAGTCCTGGGAGATGAGATGGGGAAGATGGGCCCAAGCTGCAACATGAAGGTCCATGATGAACAGTTGGCATCTCCTACAGTGCCTGCCACTTGGTAAGTTCTCAACGCTTATTTGTTGTTGTTTCTGAAATACAGGAAAGCATTTTGAAAATGACAGGATTCCACAAAATTAAGTTCCATATAACATATTTTAGCATAAAGGTAATGACATTTACTCCAGTGAAGTATTTCCTCTTCCTTCCTTCCTGGATTAAGAATGTAAGCCATTGCCTTGTTTATGAATTCTTACCAAAGGAACTTCTAAATGTCAGAGGTAAGTGAAATCCCAAGATATGAATGGAAATATCACTTTACAAATTCACTGAAATTTTTATTCTAGTGGAAATTGGATAAATCTTATAAAATATAGAGAAGTGAGGAAGTGTTTGGGAAATGGCAATCTGACCAAGAGAAATCAGATTTAAAGTTCATCCTTGTAAGTTGCTATTGATGTGGAAAAATTTCAGCAATATTGTGGCTGTGGCTGGAGTATTATGACTATAGATGGACATTGACTTTTTATTTAATTGTTTTTGTTTTTATGGATACATAGTAGGTGTATACATTTAAGGGGTTTATGAGATATTTTGATACAGGCATACAATGTGAATTAATCAAATCAGAGGAAATGAGGTATCCATCAATTCAAGCATTTATTCTTGACTTTGATATTGAACCCTGCAAAGTTATGAGCACTAACATATCTTGTATGGCCTTCCAGAGATACTTTTCTCTCTATTCTAAATTTATTCCCTACACTCAATAATTTATTTGCTTTATTTACTGCCAGTTTATGGAAAGTCTTGAGTTATCAGATGAGACAAATTTTTAAAACGTGAATTGAATCAAAACCTCACACAGAATTTATAAAATCACAGCTATGGATTGACCTAGAGAGACAGCATTTATGTCTTCAACAGCACAAACCTTAGACATCTTGGCACAAAGTGAATGCTCACTAAGTATTTGAAGCATAAATGTAAAAAATTCTTATTGCTCAGAACTCATTCCTGTATCTCTTAAAATCATTCCAAATGTGTTCATGAAGGTTCATGAACAAACAGTATGCGCAAACATTTCCTAAACTTCCTCAGAATTCCTAAAAAAGCTGAAAGAAATGCACATTTGAATTTCATTTCATTTATTTGCTCAGGTGAGCTGTGTTAAGTAAGAACGTAACATCTCTGAACCTCAAGTATTTCATCTGTAAAATGGCAATAATTATAATACCTATATCATATGAAGTATTTAGCAAAACGCTGGGCAGTATGTCACTCCTGGCAAGTACTTATGCGTGCCTATGCTGGCAGAATGTCACTTCTTAGATTCTACAAAAAGAGTGTTTGGAACCTGTTTCATGAAAATGCAGGTTCAATTCTGTGATAAAAAATAACACATCACAAAGCATTTTCACAGATAGCTTGTCTCTAGTTTTTAGGCCTGGATATTCATATTTCCTTATAAGTCCTCAATAGGTTCGGAAACGTTGATGGTGCCAAGCTGTCTGTGAAACAAGCTATCTGTGAAAACGCTTTGTGATGTGCTGTGTTATTTCACAGAATTGAACCTGCGTTTTGATGAAACAGGTTCCAAACACTCTTTTTGTAGAATCTAAGAAGTGACATGGGGATGCATGAGTACTTGGTAAAATTAGCTAATATTATTTTTATTGTCAATTATTTTCCTTTCCCATGACATTTTCCCCATTTTGTACTAAAGCTGAGAAACAGAAATATTAGTGTTTAGCAAAAAGGAGAAGAGGGGAAGCAAATAGTCTGAAATATGCACAACTGATATATGATCAACTCCTTAGTAATGTAGTGCCACTTCCAAATAGCCCTTCGATTTCTTTTATTTTTACATTTACTGTGTTTTCCTATTTTTTAGCATATATAAACTTTTTAAATAGAAAATTTGTGAAATTCAAAAAGTACAAAGGAAAACTATAAAAGCACAGGTAATCCTACCACCTAGTGATAATGGTTAATATGATATATATTACTTACTATATGTAATATATATTATATACACTTAACACTATATCATGAAAATTATGCCGTTTTGTTATTTTGTTTTATTTTATATTTTTAGCTTTCCAACTTTCTTTCCTAAAAGCATCAATAATTCCTCCTGAGGAAGTACTTTTTCTTTGGTATACAGTCTTGTTTGGTGAAACTGTCCTTCAATGAATGGCTTTGCCCTTTTCTTGTCAAGCCAATAATCCGAACTAGGCCACTGAATCCTTCTTCCATTGAATTTTAGCAGATTGACAGTGACAAACAATTGAGTTTACCAGTGGCAATGCTCAGACTAGGGTGTTCCTGTTACGATACCATTCCTGTAGGTCTGATGGCTGGCCCTCTATAGCTATCTTGGTTTTTCATCTTTCCCATTTAAAATACTAGTATCTTTCCAGTGAATTCTGTTTTTTTGTAAATTAACCATAGTTTGTGTTACCACTATGACAGAACTCTACTGGTAGAGAAATTGGTGCCAGAAAATAGATTACTAGCGATAGATATGAAATGAAATTTCTCTTCCTATGCTAGAATGTATATTTAGCAGCTTGAGAAACTTTATGGCAACATAGCAAATTAGGCTGTTCCTGCGGTCACCGGGAAGTTTGCTCACTTTGGCCAGCCAGAGAGAAACTGATTAACTGCTGCTGTACAAAAAGGGAACCTTTAGAAGAAATTCTAGGGCACCATAGTACAATGGCTGCTTCTAATAACATAATGGTAACTGAAAGCCAGGAAGCTCACAACCTAAATTCTCATTTCAAAGTGTAGACTGAATCTCATTAACTTTTGACACCATGCTGCATGATTCTTAGCTTATGTTGCCCCAGATTTAGGATCATCAGAAGGCATTCTGGGGTTGATTTGTGGGTTGCTAAGTTGCAACATCAATTGAATTAAAAGCCTTGTCTAGTCTCTCATGTGAAAATTATGTTATTGGTTGAGAGTGCATAGAGTGGGATCTCAATGATTAAATTAGGGAAATCTGAGAGTATTTAGAGTATTCATAGCATCTTAAATCTGTAAACCCCTCTGAAAGATCCCACACATAAACACCCTGAGTTTTCCTTAGTCAAGGAAGCAACTCCTCTGACCTTGCTATACAAATACTTCCTCTTGGCCGGGCACGGTGGCTCACACCTGTAATCCCAGCACTCTGGGAGGCTGAGGTGGGCAGATCGTGAGGTCAGATTGAGACCATCCTGGCACGGTGAAACCCCATCTCTACTAAAAATACAAAAATTAGCTGGGCGTGGTGGCGGGCGCCTGTAGTCTTAGCTACTCGGGAGGCTGCGGCAGAAGAATGGCGGGTGAACCCAGGAGACGGAGCTTGCAGTGAGCCAAGATTGCACCACTGCACTCCAGCCTGGGTGACAGAGCGAGACTCCATCTCTAAGTAAAAAAAAAAAAAAAAAAAAGGAAAGAAAGAAATACTTCCTCTCTCCTTTCTTCCCTCCCACATGTGTAGAACATACCCTTTCAGGGAACCCAGGCTCATGAAGCATCCTTACTTGTGCTTCCATAAGCAAGGCATTAGTGAAAAGAGAACTTGCGAAACCCCATTCTGCTCAGAAGTAACAAACTTCACATCTCTTCAGACTTCATGTGGTCCAAGAAAGCACGTGGCTGTGTCTGAGTTCAACAGGGTGTGAATAAAGAATAACCCCTCCACAAGGAGACTTCAAACAACAAATATTTGTAAAACACCAATGATAACACAATCCACAAGGCCCTTGCACCTGGCATGCACTTTTCCATCTGGCAAATGCTTTTCCCCTATTCATTCTTATAGTCAGAAAACATCAGAAGTTTACTTTCATCTGAGAGGAACAGTAGTATTCCTTACTTTCTTGTTTCATGGATAAATTGTCTCTAGAGATCTATGCTAAAATATACTCATTGTATGACACGACATCACACTTTTACATTAAATGGGCAAAATCATGCTGATAATTTGTAGGAAACTGGAAATAGCAGGAACATTAGGCACTCTGCTGAGACACATGTTTTCCATTGGAAGCAAGATAGAAAAAAAATGAATACACTAACGTCTACCACCTCTGTGAAATGTCTGAGAATCCCGAGAATTGCAGCATATTGGAATAAATTTCCCTTTTCAAGGGAAGAAGCAGTAGGCTCACTTTGCATTCCCTACCTTAAGAAGACAGAAGACACATCTCTCAGTTGCTGTCTTTGGATTTTGTTGGCAGTATTGGAGAGTTTGATGTGCTGCTACATAAATTTACAAAGTGGCTTGAAAACCTGCAAGTTTGAGATGGAACCTAAGACACACATATCTCTCTACCTGTACAAATAGTTACATAAATTGGCCCTTTGGGCTCAGTAAATACAATGATAACTAGAATTTCAGTGGTGGTTCAGAGTGCTTTATGGAATCTATAGTAAGCTCTGTTAGATGAATCACAAAAGAAACATCTAGAATTTGGAAGCAAAGCCCTATCATCATTGGTTAAGTAACTATTCTGTGTGCAGTGCCTCTTGTTTTACTTCTGGGCTCTGCTAGATTCTCAATTCTTGAGCATAATCCAAACTGTTCCTGAATGAATGTGACATTATCTGATCCAACCATTTGGAGAGTGTCCTTGAAACTACTATGGACAGTGATAAAGTTATTGAAACCTCTATTCTATGTTGGGAGAATCACCAAGAACTAAGCTCAGTTATTAATAATTTGGTTTGTATAGGTCTACTTGACAAAGAACTCTGACCAATTGAGCACTGGCTGAATATCAGGTGGACGTAGGATGAGTAATAGGCAGGACCAATTTAGAAATAAGGAATGTAGTCTACGCAAATTTTATTTTTTTATTTTCTTATATTGTGACAAATATTTTATCTTCTCTTTCCATTATGTTTCTACTTATCTTATATTGGTAGTATTTATGGTGGTTAAAGTTAACATTATTTCAAAGTTTCACAATATTTGAATGGAATATCAAGAGAGCAAAAGGAAGAGGGACTATCGATCTAGACAGTTCAGACTTTCTGCCAGTTTAAAAAATTTGAGATATTAGATTGTCTGTAGTTATAAGTAGAATCTGTTTTCAAGTGTAATCTCTATAGTGAAAAAATGGAAAGGATGCATGAGTATACTTGATGAAGTTTTGTAAATTGAACGAAGTGTATAACCAGTGTCCAAATCAAGAAATACATTGTTGCTAGCAACAATGAAAGGAAGGAGGAGGAAAGGAATGAGTTAAGACGCTCGATAATAAAGGAATGGTTAAAAAGCACACTGATACATTCTTGGGTGACAGAATACTATGCTAATCTTATTGTAGAAGAATAATAATGTGTACCATTTAAAGTTTTTGCTGCAAGCAAGGGAAACCAATTCTGACTCTGATAATATACAGAATGGAGTTGACTAGAAGGATATTGGCAACTCAAAAATTATGCAGAAACCAAGATGGAATGGTAAGCTTTTTTTGTGTGTAGAAACTACACAGGTGAGTGGGCACATAGCTGAAATAGTCTAGTTATGGTGCTGCTAGTGGAAATGATTGAACCACAACCATTTTCATTGTCATTCAGTTCCAGAAATATAACCAGCATAATTCAACTAATCTTTTATAATCATAAATAAGCTTGACCCTTTTAGAAGTCAGTAGGGACTACTAGGTTGCTTCCTGTTTTCCTTCCTTCCTTCCTTCCTTCCTATGCAATCCTGTTGAGAATTTTGTAACACACATATCATTTTGCATATTTGTAATAGTTTATTCAAGAGGATTTTTTAGAATCAGAAGT
Organism: Homo sapiens; assembly: GCF_000001405.40. NCBI lineage: Eukaryota > Metazoa > Chordata > Mammalia > Primates > Hominidae > Homo > Homo sapiens. Next base: position 93,912,022 of record NC_000015.10, read on the forward strand.
GCCGAGTAAATATGTATATATATTTTTAAAGTTTTTAATGAATGTTCCTAGGTTTTCTTTGAGGAAGAATTACCAATTTATGCTTCATCAACACTCTAGGACTCTTCAGTTTTCTTCATTTGTGCCTAAACTGGTGGAAACATGTTAGCAATTTTTTTGTACATCATTATATCAACCTCCCTTTTTATTTGGGACAGGCTTTCCCAATAATAAAAATTTCTAGTTTGATGAAGAGTAAGCACTGCTGTTAGATAAATCTATATATTTTATACTATAAAGACAATATAATTGACATTTAGTAGTAAGTTGTGTGTCATCCATTCAAGATTACCTTTAATGAATTATCTCCTAAATTTGCATGCGAAGTCACTTCGTCCTATCTTCTTTCAATAATGTTTGATTTTTATCACTCATTGTTATTAGCTGCTAATTAGTAAAGGTTATCCTGTTTTCAAGGCAATGATAAAGCTTTCAAAGAAAATAATTTTCTTTTCTCAGGCGAGAGGGAATAAAATATTGTGTTTTACAAAGTTGGCCCCACTGACCACATTTTAAAATGTCTTGATCTTCAGATGTTATTTTAAACATGATAGAAAGAGCTCTTAAGTGACCTTCAATTTATCTAACCTCCAGAATGACACTCTGTTCCTTCACAGATGCCCATAGAACACTAAATGCTTAAGTTCTCATAGGCTACACACTTCTTTTCAAACCACAAGATAGCTTTTGCTTTTTACTTCCAAGGTTGTTTGTGTCAGGTATATTTGTTATTTTAATTACATAATTTAAATAAGAATTATTCAAAGCAATGGAATATGAGTGTGGAAAGAAATTCATTTTCAAAAGACCAAGTTCAATGGCATTGAACAATGACTTAAATAACTTGATCAAGATAATTTGTTTAAAAATGTTAGCAAATAAGAATGATTGAAGAAAAAATTACAAATCTAGAACAATTTTGCATTCAGATAGCTTTGAATCTGTCTTTAAATTCCAGACATCCTTTAAAGAAACCAAAATTGGAGTTCTTATATAATGAAACATGGGTATAACATATAAAACTGATGACACAGATATTCACTTAGCAGGCTCCATCTATAGTAAACACACACATACACAAATCAGCTCTAGCCTACATCAAATGGTTTCCAAATGAGTTTATATTAATAGATATTAACTTGCAATGTATTCTGAGACATGCACAAACCATTTTTAATAATTTATTACTTTGATTCAATTTAAAAATTAACCAAACAAACTAGATGCTATATTTTGGATATAATTTGTTTGGCCACACCAGGTCTTATGTTGAAATTGATCCCCAGTGTTGGAGGTGAGGCCTAGTGGGAGGTGTTTGGGTCATGGGGGCAGATTCCTCATGGCTTGGTGCCATTCTCCTATTCTTGCAGGAGCGAGTGAGTTCTCAGTCTTAGTTCCTGTGAGAACTGCTTATTGAAAAGAGGTGGACACCTCCTTTCTCACTTCCTTATTCTCTTGCCACATGACACCTGCCCCCCTTTGCCTTCCACCGTGAGTGGAAGCTTCCAGAACCCTCAACAAAAGCAGGTGCTGGTGCCATTCCTCTTCTGTAGCCTGCAGAGCCAGGAACCAAATAAACCTCTTTTCTTTATAAATTACCCAGCCTCAGGTGTTCCTTTATAGCAACACAAATGGACCAAGACACCAGATATTGTCCTATTTTGCTTGTATCTCAGGTTTTTCTACAGAATGGAAGATAGGAAGAATACTTCAGTAATAGCACATTACATCTCAGATATGTGACAAATAATGTCACAAATAATGCCACAGGAAACTATATGCCAATTTTTAAATATCTTTTTCCTAACACAAGTACAAGATAACTCTAAATAACGTGGATTTTTTTTTCACTTCATAAAAATCCATATATTTCTTCCTTCTAAATATTTGCCACAGTCTTTGTCCTTCACTCTCCTTGTTCCTTTGTGTTGTTTTTTACACAGATGAAAAACACTCACTGAAGTCAAAGTACATTTGTGTCTGCATGATGATTAACAACAGATGAGTACTGATGTGGCTGAATGGTGATAAAGTCCATTAAAAAATTAAACCATGAGAGACAAATATATAGGTATAGCAAAGGCCATCTGTCTGAGGTGGATATGCATTTCCACTAAGAATATCTGGTCCCTTAGAAGCTGTCTTCCTTTCGGCACACTCTCAAATGCGACTATCTCAACACTTTTTCAAGTGTTTGTGTAGATTTAAGGTGATGCTTAACATCTCTGCATTTCTCATCATGGCCCACCAGAAACATACGTGATAAAAATACATATTATATATGTTCTAAAGGAATGACCACAGATAAAATGATCAGGAATGTTTTGTAATTGTTTTATTGAAACATACTTTCTCAGAACTCCCTTGATTCTTCTTCACCTTATGTCAATATTACTTTCACTTTTTGATTGATAATATTCATTATTAAAAATTCAGCTTTTGACTCCTGAGTCCTAAACATAACTTCATGGATAACTTCAGTAGAATTTAATATATAGACTAAAAGATTATTTGTTCCATGTGATGGTTCATATTTTTTACAGTTAATCTAAGATTTGTTGATTAATTTTAAATTTACTTTAAAATTTATAATAGATATTTAATCCCTTCATAATCTGAAGACTCTTTACTCAATATTTTGGTAATATCTCTAGTCTGCTAAGGCATTAGGTGCTCATGCTAGTATTTTACCAGCTCCCTCCTCGCCAGACCATGTGAGATTGGGATGACTTTTCTTTTATGGGTATGCTGGTGTGAGAGATTATTAATAAAAGAAATCTTCTTTTTAAACAAAGGAACACTGTATCTCTCAGTACAGATGGCTCCCAGATTGTCACAGCATCAGAGTGCTACTTAAAGCGCATCTTTTCATGCCATTTGCTATTTTTTCACTTCTAGGTTCCATATATAACCTGCAGAATGCACCCAAAAAGTGAGTTCAAGGGCCAGTCTTTGATGGGCAATTACGTATAGATTTCTAATTGCTGATCCTAATGATCAGTGGTTTCTCCTTTGAGTCAGATGTATTATTGCTGTAGAACTGGAATGCTGTCACTCAAAGTGATCCCTAGTCATTAACTCATTGGTCAGGCCAAGCATATAATGACACTGCATTTTCAGAAGATAGAAATTAAGTGTGGGCAAGCAAGGATGGTCAACTCACCTAAAACTGCCTGGCAGCAGCAGCAGCACATGAAAGATAAGGTGTTCAGATCTCCACAGACTAGAGAGTATTTAGGGAAACAAAACACCTTTGATTTTTATATTTTGGCTGAGACATTTTCACAGTACTTTTTTGGGCTGAGAACAAATGGTATTTCCACAATGACAAAGGCATTGGAAACATCTAGAATAGAATATGCCAACCTCTTCTCTGTGAAAGCATGTGCACTTAAAACAAATAGTCTCTTACCAGTAACTGGCACATAGCAGGTGTTCAGAAACTTTTTGTGCATCAGATTAAATGAGAGAACTGGAGGCACAACAGGTTCAAGCATTTTCCGAAATATTTGAACATTGGAAGGGTAGAATTCATGAAAACAAAACCATTTTATAGTTTTGTTGAAAAGTTTCATTATATTTAGAAAGTAAATAAATATGAAAAGAAATCAAGTCTCCTTAAAATAAGAGAGACCTCGTCAAATGGGTTATATATGTTTCTATGTATATAAACAAACACACAGTGGAAAGTGAACTAGAAGAAGTGATGTTGGCAGCACACCAACAGTAGACATTCTTCTTCTTGCAAGGACAAGAAAAATAATTTGATATGATATCAGAAATGAAGCATTTTTATAGTCAACTATCAGCAAAGAGATAAAGACATTTTAAAGTCAGAAATAGCAAAGTTCACAATGAGCCAGTGAAAATGGGATTTTTATGTTAAGTTTTCCTAAAGAACTGAAGTTCTAGAGTTCAAGACTTGTCTCTAGGAAGAGAGATTTGAGACTACAAACCAATGGATTAAAGTCATTCTGAAGCCAGAGATATGTTAAAATTTAGGAATGAAATTTGGATTAAATTACAGTGATTTTGAAGATATATAAGTGATGTATTTTCTGTTAAAATATCTATCTTTATGTTTTGATGTAAATGTTTGGCTAAAATAATTACTAGTAAAATTTATTACATGCTTATTTTAGTTTATACCATATCATATTTTTTAAGCAATATAAAATTAGTAGAAAAGCAGGTTGAAATTTTGGTATAATTAGGAACAATGGTCTTAATTCTCCTTTTCACTTTGATTAATGAGGAGGCAAAGCTCTGGTTTGACATTTAATAATGTTTAAACTCTTAAATTTGTGTAAGGTTAAAAATGTTTACATGGATTTAGGGGGGGTTTTTGGGTTGTTTTTTATTGCATTTTATAATTACATGACTACAGTACAAAAACACCAAAAATTGTTCATGGAATACAGCCACGCTAGATCCACAGAACATATTTAAATGACATATATAAATGTAGCCATCATACTATTCTAAAGTTTTTGTTTGTTTATTTTTTGTTTGTTTGTTTTTTGTTGTTTTTTTTTTTTAGACAGGGTTTTGTTCTTGTTACCCAGGCTGGAGAGCAATGGCACAATCTTGACTCACTGCAACCTGCCTCCTGGATTCAAGCAATTCTCCTGCCTCAGCCTCCCAAGTAGCTGGGATGTCAGGAATGCGCCATCATGCCCAGCTAATTTTTTCTATTTAGTAGAGACAGGGTTTCACCATGTTGATCACGCTGGTCTTGAACTCCTGACCTCAGGTGATCCACCCACTTCAGCCTCTCAAAGCGCTGGGATTACCGGTGTGAGCCACTGTGCCTGGCTCAAAGTTTTTTTTAACTTAAGGAATTTTATTTTGGTAACTATTATGTGTCTGGAACTATATTAGTTCTCGCTGGGTGATAACATGCATATGACAGTTCCTGTTCTTGCAGGACATTACACTTAATTTGACGTTAAAGAATACAAAATATTATATGATTTGTTCGCATTTCAAGGGTTGATGTAGACTGAATGGTTTAGAGAAATTGTCATAGAACAAGGCTAATTGAATGTGGCCTTGTGGAATATGTAAGAGAATTAGGCGAGGTTGGCAGGCAGAGAGAGGAAGAAGAGAAAGGACACTGTTAAAGAGGATATAGCAGAATATTTGGAGATCAGTTTAAGTCTCTGCAATGCAGATGAGAAAGGCTTTTGAAGGATAGAAGTTAGTGTGACCTTGAGATCCCCAGGAAGGATTATGAAAGGTTTGCAAATGAGTTTGTTTTTTGAAGCAGCATCTTCTCTGATGGCTCCATAACAGCAGGGGCAGTGCTGGAAGTGGTGGAACTGGCAACTGCCCTTCCCAGGGGTGAGTGCTTCCTTTCATGGTGATAGAACTTTCTTCTATCTGGGCAGAGTTCATTGTCAAATAGGGTCCTGAGACTTGTCTAAATACCACCCGCTACACAGAAGTCCTGTCATGACTACTGGGAACTAGTAAATTAACATTTGGCATTAGAAAAATGAGTAAGATGTATTTAGAAAATGAAAATAAACAATCAGAAGTATTTTTCTTTATATTTGAGGATTCTTTGGAAGTTGCAGTAGTTATGTTGTAAAATGGGCCTCAATGACTTTTCAACATTTTATATTTGTTTATTTTTTTCCTTTTAAAGCAGTAAGACAAAGAAGGAAAAGAATTGGGTTTGGAATAAAATTTACAAAAACTTGAATTCTGTCTCTGCTACTAACTAACCAAGTAGATCTGGTCAATCATGTCACTTAACCTCTTTACAGGTGATGATAACAAATCCATAAGCACTTCTTAATCATAAGTTATTCATATTCACAATAAAACTGGCTCGCACTTATTGCATATTTAATATATACCAAATTCCAGTCCATACACTTCCCATGTATTATCACTTTCTTTGAGAATTAAATGAAATAATATTAATAAAATAATTAGCATGAGGTCATAGATAACATTTTTAACAAATTACTTTTCAGACCTTAAATAAACTGTCCAAGTTGGGATAGAAATTGTGGTTTATAATATCTTCTATGCACTTAATAAAAAGCTTTGCCATTCATTCTTTTGCAGAAGGCCACTAACTTCTTGGATTTGCAGTTCAATTCCAATTAGCATGATTTTATTTTATTTATTAATTTTTAATTTTAGAGACAGGGTATCACTTGGTCGCACAGGCTGGAGTGACTGGCACAACTGTAGCTCAGTGTAACCTCGAGCTCCTGGGCTCAAGTGATCCTCCTGCCTCAGCCTCCCAAGTAGCTGGGACTACAGGCATGCACCACGACTCCTGGCTAATTTTTTAATATTTTTGTAGAGATAGGGTCTTGCTGTGTTGACCACGCTGGTCTTGAACTCCTGGCCTCAAGCAATCCTTCTGTCTCAGAATCCCAAAGTGCTGGGATTATGTGCATGAACCATCACACTCAGCTGGTTATTTTAAACTTAGCATTAGATTTTATTTTATTTAAAAATCTTGACATATCAAGTACAGAGACTTGATATTCTTTGGTGCCTTATGAGGATAAAGGGAAAATAAACCAAATTTAAAAATCTACCTTTTCATAAATTTCTTTCAAGGCCTACCGCTAATCTAGAATAAGACTCATTCGTATACGTAATATCTAAGGAAGAGCTAAATATTTGTTATTGTTGTTCCATAACATATATCTCTCTGATGACATTATTGAAAACAAATGATATGAAAGAACTCTAAATTGTAAACCAGAAATAAAATTCTAAGGCCCCCCAACCATCTGAACAAACTTTCTCCTCAGCCAGGGCTCTTAAAATTTAACCTGAAAGACTGGTTCAGGCCATGAAGGGAAGAGGAGGTGGAAACATGCCTCATTATACCTCTCAGGCACTAACATCAACGCAGACTTTTCAGTCTGATAAGAAACATTTCTCTCTGCTCTCTCAGAAGCCTGCTAGCTAAAAGCTTCATCTGCATGATAAAACTTTGGTCTCCACAGCCTCTTATCTCAACCCAAACATTCCTTTCTATTGATCCCAGGTCTTCAGACAAACTCAACCAATCGTCAACCAGAAAATGTTTAAATTTACCTATAGCCTGGAACCCCCACCTCCACTTTGAGTTGCCTACCTTTCTGGACCAAACCAATGTATGTCTTAAATGTACTCGATTGATGTCTTATGTCTCCCTAAAATGCTGCACCCCAACTGCCTTGGGCACATGTCATCAGGACTTCCTGAGGCTGTGCCACGGGGCGTCCTCAACCTTGGTAAAATACACTTTCTAAATTACCTGTCTCAGATTTTGTGGGTTCATAAAATCTACCAGGAAAATAAGTTAAAGTGTTGAATTGGCAAGAGAAAATGATAAAATAAAAATTGAAAATGTAGAGTTAGGAAAATATACACTAGACAAATACAAGTAAGGAAAGCAAGAATAATAATAGTAATATTAGAAGAACATTAGATGCAGAAGAATTACCAAGGGCCAAAACAGTAAATATGAAAATGGGAGATATTTTGTGAAAGAAAATGTCCCATGCAAATAAAACATTATGTTTATGTGCTAACCGTAAGGAAAAGTTCCTAAAAGGGTAAAAATTTTAAATATGAATTAAATGGAAAGTTTACAGATTATGTAGGTCAGCAACATATAGTCTTTGACTAATATAACTTTGTACCCATGCACAAAAAATATATAATTTTATTTCCAGAAACATTTACAAAAATCATTCATGGAAGTATCCACAAAGAAAACTTTAATAAACATGCAAAAGTCAAGACTGACAAGGTCACACTTTTTCTTTAATACATTAAAACTAAAATAAAGAAACCAAGAGAGTATATACATGGAAAATGTGAAACACTTTCTCAAATCAAGTTTTGGTTCAATAATGAATTTTTTAATTTAAATAATTAAAAATAAGTAGAAGAGCACTCTATGCTAGAATATTTGGAACACAGCTAAATTGTATTCAGAAACTATATATAGTCTTAACAATTTTTATTAAAAAATGACTGAAGACTTCCGAAAAATCTTTAAAAAACCCCTTTCTCTATAAAAGCAATAAGAATACTGTTTAAAACTGTCAAAATCAACTTTTTCAGAGCTCTGGAAGTTAATTAAAGGCTTGCAACAATCTGAAGAAATTTATTTAAGAGTAATGGCTAAATATTAGTAGGAACAATAAATTCTATGGCATTACAATTTGACCTAATCTCATCTCTCCTCCCAAGATCCATGGTACATTTGAAAAACAGTAACCTAGCAGCTGCTGGAAAGGGCTGAATGGACTTGGAGCTACCCAAATACACCATTCCGTTTACTGTCTGGCAGTACTTTGAAAAGCATCATTCTTGGGGCTTGTCTTTAACTGACCTGACTCAGCTACTCTGTGTGAATGGCCTTATTTGCGGTTCATTGGTTGAAAACAACCAGTGGCGATTGTTTACCTTTGCAGCTGCATGAGGCAGAATTATAGCTGGAGCTAACAAAAGGCTAATCAAAAACTTAAAAGGAAATATGGGGGAATTATAGGGGACTTCGAAAGCTTTGGCATACTCCTGGACATTTAGAAGGTTGCTATATTAGTCAGGGGTCTCTAGAGAAACAGGAGAGATGATTGATAGATGGATAAGTAGATAGATAGGTAGATAAATGATAGATAGACAGATTTATTATAAGGTATTGGCTCATGTGATAATGGAAGCTGAGAAGTTCCATGACCTGCCGTACGTAAGCTGATGATCCAAAAAAGCTAGTGGTGTAGTTTGAAGGCATGAGAGCTGGAGAGCTAATAGTGTAGATCCTAGCCTAGGTCTGAAGTCCTGAGAATCAGAAGTGCCAAGTGCAGGAGATCAGTGTCTCAACACAGGCAATCAGGTTGAATGAAAATTTAAACTTCTTCTGTCTTTTTGTTCTATTCAGTCTTTAGATGGATGAATTGATGGCCACTCATGTTGGGGAGGGCCAGCTGCTTTACTCAGCTCACAAATTCAAATGGTAATCTCTTCTGAAAACATGCTCACAGACATGCCCCGAAGTAATGTCTAACCAGATATCTAGGTATACTGTGGCCCATTAAAGTTGACGCATATAATTAACCATCATACTCATGTGCTTGCACATGCCCAGGGCTGTATGCATACCCATAAAGACCTGAGAGCACCCTAATCCCTTATTTCTGTCTGCCTTTAAGACTCTGTTGTAGCAGGACCAGCTACAAAACTCCTCAGACAAAACTCCTCAGACACTGAGTTAAAGAAGGAAGGGGTTTATTCGGCCGGGGGCATCGGCAAGACTCCTGTCTCAAGAGCCGAGCTCTCTGAGTGAGCAATTCCTGTCCCTTTTAAGGGCTCACAACTCTAAGGGGGTGCGCGTGAGAGGGTCATGATCGATAGAGCAAGCAGCGGGTACGTGACTAGGAGCTGCATGCACCGGTAATTAGATCGGAACAAAACAGGATAGAGATTTTCACAGTGCTTTTCTATACAATGTCTGTAATCTATAGATAACATAATTGATAGGTCAGGGGTCGATCTTTAACTACCAGGCCCAGGGTGTGGCGCCGGGCTGTCTGCTTGTCAATTTCATTTCTGCCTTTTAGTTTTTACTTTATCTTTCTTTGGAGGCAGAAATTGGGCATAAGACAATATGAGGGGTGGCCTCCTCCCTTACTGTGAAAGCCAAAAGTGACGGCTAGGGCAGAGTTGGGAACTGTCTGCTTGAGTGTTGTAGGCATTCCCTATATCTACACACAGAGCCACTTAGCAAAGATTTGGAGAATTATTGACACAAGTAATGTAAGGACATATTCATCAATCCATTAGCTGATCACTAAGCTAACTAAGTAGATATTTCACAGGCTGCACAAGACCAAAACAATACAAATTTTACAAAATTAGTATGAGAAAGTCACTAAACAATTCTAATAAACAGCAACAAGTAAAAAACACTGTAAAAGTAGGGGAGCGTAATCTGAATTCAAGAGTTGCCATATCATATTCTTTCAAATGTTTAGTTTTCAACAACAACAAAGAATAAGACTTACAAAGAAAAAGGTATCTGGCACACAAAGAGAAAAAAGTACTCAAGAGAAATAGTACTTCAAGAAGCACAGATGTTATACTGAATAAATAGTTTAAATTTTAAAAGTACAAGGAATTAAAGAAAAACATGTCTAAAAAATTGAAGTAAACTGTGAGCATGATGTCTTTCCAAAGAGAGATTATCAGTAGAGAAGGGACTCTAAAAAAGAGCCAAATAGAAACTCTCGAGTTGGAAAGTATAAGAACTAAAATGAAGAATTTACTAGAAGGAATCAACAACATATTGAGCTGGCAGAAGAAACTTGAACAAATGTCACTTGAGAGTATACATCCTGAGGAACAAAAAGGATAAAGAGTAAAGAGAAATGAATAGAGACATTGGTACACTTTAAGCATACCAACATATCTATAATAGAATTTCCAAAAGAAGAGGAAAAAAAGGGGAGGGAAGAATATTTGAAGAAACGATGGCCAAAAATTTACCAATCAATTCAAGTTTGATAAACTCAAAGAGATTTATTCTAAGTATGCCATTGGTAAACGGTCCTTTAACAAAGACAAAGAGAGAATCTTCAAAGCAATAAGAGAAAAGTGGCCTATCATATACAAGGGATTCTCAGTAAGATTAATAACTGATTTAATGACAGAAATCATGGAGCAAAGAAGGCAGTGGCATGTCATAATTAAAGTGCTGAAAGGAAAAGACTTTCAACCAGGAATTTAATATCCAGCAAAACTGTCATTCAAAAGCAAAGAAGAAATTAAGACATTCTCAGATAAACAAAATGAGTAAACTTGTTATTAGCAGACCTGCCAAAAAAATGCTAAAATAAATCTTACAAGATGAGTTGAAGAGGCAATAGAGTAACTTGAATTCATAAACAAATAAGGAAAACCAAGAAAGATAAATATATAGGTAAACTTTTAAAACAGTATAAATATATGTTTGTTTGAAACTTTTATTGTCTTATCTGACTTAAAGAAAACTACTTAAAGCAATAACTGTAAAGCTGAGTTGATGAGCTTATAATGAATCAAGATGTTATTTGTGTGATAATAATACAAATGGGAGGGGGAGTGAAGTTATACAGAAGTGAGTTTTTACATACTATTGAAATTAACTTGGTATTAATCTTACCTAGATTGTTTTAGGATGTTAATTGTAACTCCCAGAGCATCCACTAAGAGAATTACTAAAAATACACAGCTTAAAAGTAAGGAAATTAAAGTGGTATACTAGAATTATCTATACGGTATGAAGAAGACAGTATGGAGAATTAAAGGGGAAAAAAGTAAGATCTTCAGAAATCAAAGAGCAAAATGGAAGACATAAATATTACTTTATCAACAATATATGTAATTATATATAATATAAATTACACATATTCACATGTATGTGTATATATACATATGCACACATGTGTGTGTGTATATAAATATGTACTATGCCTGACAACAAAGTCGCAAAATACATGAAGCTAAAATTGATAGAATTGAAGAGAGAAATAGACAAGTCAAAAACAATTGGAGACTTCAGTATGGGTTTTCAATACTAGGAAAAACAATGAGAAAGAATATCAACAAAGAAATAGAAGACTTAAATAAGACTATAAAGTAATTAGACCTAACAGAATTTTAGAGAAGTCTTCACCCAAAAATGGTAGAATAAACATTCTTTTTTTTTTTTTTTTTTTTGAGATGGAGTCTTGGCTCTGTTGCCCAGGCTGGAGTGCAGTGGTGCGATCTTGGCTCACTACAACTTCTGCCTCCCGGGTTCAAGCGATTCTCCTGTCTCAGCCTCCTGAGTAGCTGTGACTACAGGCGTGCACCACCATGCCCGGCTAATTTTTGTATTTTTAGTAGAGACGCGGTTTCACTGTGTTGGCCAGGCTGGTCTCAATCTCCTGACCTCGGGATCCGCCTGCCTCAGCCTCCCAAAGTGCTGGGATTACAGGCATGAGCTACCATGCCCAGCTTAGAATAAACATTCTTAAATGCACATGGAACATTCTCTAGAATGGACAATAGGCAATATTTTTTAAAGAACTTAATAAAGTTTAAAGAATTGAAATAACTAAATGTATGTTCTCTGACTCAAATAAAATAAAACTAGAAAGCAATAACAGAAGGAAATTTACAAATTTGTGATAATTTAAAAAACAATCATACTCTTAAATAATCAATGGGTCACAGAAAAAAAATCACATGTAAAATTAGAAAATACTTTGAAAATCAACAATTGAAATGAATAAAATCCAAAAACAGCATACCACAACTCATTGGATACAGCTAAAGTAGTACTAAAGGGAAATTTATAACTGAAGAACTATTTTTTAAGAAAAATCTCAAATTGATCACGTAATTTCCTACCCTAAGCAACTAGTTTAAAAAGATTAAACTGTACACAAAGCAAATAGAAGAAAGAAAATAATAGACTAGAATAAAAAGTAATGAACTAATAAATAATGAAATAATGAAACAACGGAGTAAATCGACAAAATCAAAAGTTGGTTATTTTAAGTATAAACATTAAAATATATACAGCAAAATCAGTAGAATATAGGTGAGCACGTCAAATTAATCTTTCTTCTTCTCTCAGGAAGGCTGTTGCTGGTGAAAAACAACACCCAAACATGTTATGCTTCATTTTTTTATACTGTTTTTCAAAAATCTTACAAATTAACAATGTTTTGGTTGTTATGTGGTTATGTTAATATAACATTGTTATATTAACAATGTTAGGGGACAAAAAAAGGAAAAGATCAAAGAAGATGATTAATTTTTTATTCACATCTTTGAATTGTCTCACTTATAATGAATATGTATTACTTTTATAATTTCAAATAAATTATAGTATAAAAAATTTAAAATGAAAATAAAGATAAATATATGACATATATTATAAGCATGGTAATTTTTTAAGGTTAAAAAAGCATCTATATTTATAAACATACACATTACAATTGTCTTGAATGGAGTATAACAAAATGTTAATAATTGTCATCTCTCAGCGGTGCCATTATTTTTATTGCTTTTTAGAGTTTTATATAATTTGGACTTTTCATAATGAGTTTTTGTTGTTTTACAATTGTAAAAAAATCAGTGAAGTTATTTTAGGTTTGGATACAAAAATGTTTTATTGAGCAGAGAGAAGAATGAGGCAGAAGGTTCAGGAAGTGTGGTTGAATGTCAAGGCAATTGAAGGGAGTTGGAATGAAACCCAGTCCTCAGACACTCAGGGGAAGGTCGATTCAGGGCAGGAGAATGACCTTAGCGGTCCTTACCATTTATCTCCTACTCCTTTTGCTGTGTTTTGTCTTTGAAAATTTTCAGGTTAAACTGTCATTTTAACTTCTAATTCATTATATTTATTTGACATCTTTACAAATAACTGTGATTTGATACCAAAGTTACCAGGATTTACATTTTCATTGTTGTTTTTTGAAATGTGAACACTAATGTTATGCCGGTTGTTATGTAGAAGAAGTTTCTTCAATGGAATTCAACAGGATGCTATTCTTGCAAGACACCTTTGGTGTAGGGCACAGACTATACTCTGCAGTGAATTTTGAGCTTCAAGAAGGCTTGTTAAGGGCACAGGATTTTGGAAAGTGTAGACTCTATTCAAAGTTATGCTTAGTAAGTGGAAAAGAATGAGTGAGGTGGTAATGAATTGGAAAAGAAGGAGCTGTTGTATGTTGTCAGAGGGAGAGAGGTTTAACAAGAACTGTTGCTGTGTGTTGTGGAATTGTGCATCTCTGCTTATTTACGAGACCTACATTGTATTTTCAAAAAAAATTTTTAATTGATTTTATGTCTTTCAAATGCAGCAAAAGACATAAAATCCTGGTCATGCATTAAGGCAGGGCTAATGAGGTAATGTTTCAGAGCCTTCCATAAGGGATTGGGGACCTAACGTACAGGCTCCAGCATCCCTTCTAGAAGGAAACAGAGAGTGCACCTTCCCCATGACAGCCAGGCTGCTGGGAGCATGAGCCAATAAAAAACGAGTCCTCTGGGCTTCATGGTTTCAACTCAAGGTGAGAGGGAAATGGTGCCAGCTACTGATAAATTAAATTTACAGTTTTAGGGACAAGGGAACTTAGGGGCTGGATATTTCTGTTGGAGCTATGAGCTAAAGATTTTGTAAATGTGTATAATTTGCAAACAGAATCAATGATTTTGTTCTTCAAGGGAAGGAAGTTTTTGTTTTTTGACAAGTGTGTCTCTTCTTGAAAAAAAGAGTGATGGAGGATTTACGCTCCAGGATGAGACATGCTCCAAGTCAAGAGCACAGTCATTTAAAATGATATTGGACAAGAAAGGGATGCCAACAAGAGGCAGATGTGAATAAGACACCTGTGTGACCTTGGGGGTCCCATACAACCAGAAGGGAAAAAAGACCAAAGCCACTAATAGGTGGCATGAGGCTGTGGGAGGGATAGAGTTATAAAGAAGGTGTTTAAGAAGTGTTGCTGGGCCTGGTGTGGTGGCTCACGCCTGTAATTCCAGCACTTTGGGAGGCCGAGGCAGGTGGATCATTTGAGGTCAGGAGTTCAAGACCAGCCTGGTCAACATGGTGAAACCCCATCTCTACTAAAAATACAAAAATTAGCTGGGTGGTAGTGGTGTGCACCTGTAATCCCAGATACTTGTAAGGCTGAGGCAGGAGAATCGCTTGAAGCTGGGAGGCAGAGGTTGCAGTGAGCTGAGATTGTGCCACTGCACTCCAGCCTGGGTGAGAGAGTGAGACCCTGTCTCAAAAAAAAAAAAAAGAAGTGTTGCTGTGTCTTAGGTATGATAAAGCCTCTTTCATTGCTCCTTTAAGAGTCCAGGAGCAAAGACAATTGTTAGTGTTTTCTAAAGAATGTTGAACACCAAAACCTTTTTTAAAAAGTGGGTTTCTGATGATCGAGACTTAAAATGTATGAAGTTTCTCATTGGGATTTATGAAAACAGGGAATGAGTTGATGACAGAATTCTAGAGATAGAAGACGGCAGACCAGCTTTTTATAAAAAACAGCTTTATTAAGGTATAGTGAACAAAGAACTGCACATATTTAACGTGTACAATTTGATGAGTTTGGATTAAACTCCCATTGGATACTATCACTACAGTCGGGGTAATGGGCACATCCAACATCTCCCAAAGTTTTCTTATGTTGCTTTGTTTATTATGTTGTTTTGTTTTATGTGTGTATGTGGTAAGATCTAGCTTCTTAACAAATTCTGAAGTGCACAGTACCATATCGTCAACTATAGGCACTGTGTCGTACAGCATATCTCTAAAACTTACTCATCTGACATAATTGAGACCCTATACTCATTCAACAACAACTCCCCATTTCTTTCCTTCTTCTAGCCTGTGGCGCTATTTTATTCTCTGCTTCTCTGAGTTTGACTTTTATCGATACCTCATACAAGTGGGATCATACCGTATTTGTCCTTCTGTTACTGGCTTCTTTCACTTGGCACACAGTAGCCTCAGAGTTCATCCCTGTCATCACAAATGGCAGGATTTCCTTCGTTTTATGGTTGAATAATATTTTATTATATATATTTACTGCAGTTTCTCTATCCATTCATCTGTCAGTGGGCATCTGGGTTGTTTCTATATCTTGGCTATTGTGAGTAATGCTGCAGTGAACATGGGAATGCAGATAACTCTTCCAGATCTTGATTTCTCTTCTTTTGGACATATACCCAGAACTTGGATTGCTAGATTCCCTGGTAGCTCTATTTTCAACTTTCAGAATAACTTTCCTACTGTTTTCCATCATGACGGCACGATTTTACATTCCCACCAACAGTTTACAAGGGTTCCAGTTTCTTCACATCTGACCTACTCACTTTATTTCTTGTTTTGTTTTGTTATAATGGCCATCTTAAAAAGTGTAAGGTGATATTCCACTGTAGACCAGCTTCTTACTGCAGTAAGACAATCTGACATTCAAGTTCATTATAATGTGGTTACCACGTACTTTCTGGCCATTTATGCCTCACCACCCCCGCATGCGCAGCCTTCCCTCCTGCCATGTTCGATGGCTTGCTCTTCCTGGTCTTTGCTTCCATGGATTGTATCTTGCTTTCCCTGCTATGAAACACTTATTTATATTTATGTTCATGCCCCTCTTCAGAACTGTGGCATGGTGCAGAATGGTTTTTTCCAGACAGCCATGTGCTTCACTCCCTAACTTCTCCCATGTCTCTGTTTCAATGCCATTCACCTGTGAGGGCTTCCTTCCCCAAGCACCCATGGAGAAGAGCACCAGAACCTCCTCACCTCCTGCCTTGCTGTTTCTCCACAACATTGACGTCACAAAATATTTTTGTTTGCTTAGTTTTTGTCTTCTCTTCACCCAATGAGAATATAAACTCCATGAAACAAGTCCTTCTACCATTTTCCTTTTATACCTCTAGCTTCTGGAACAATGGATACATGTAGTGTTCAGCAAATTGTGCTTTAATAAATTAATGAGTGAATCAGAGTTGTGTCCCCTTTAACTTTGTATTTTCCCAATAACTAGCACAGTGTCTGGACTAGCGTATGATCCCAGTGATTATTTGTTAAACAAATAGCTCCCTGGAGTGAGAGTATTATGGTAGGAGAAAAGTTATTTTATGATAAAATATATCTATTTTTTTAAGGAAGATTTGTTATATAGAGACAAGAGGTATATACAGTGAGTGTGAGTTCTTTATCTGATCACTTGGAAAAGTTCTGGCTTCCCCTCTTTTCAGCTGTGTGACATTCAGCAAGTCAGTTCATCTCTCTGAGTCTCAGTTCCCTCAGATATAAATTAAGCTTTGCTGTGACTATTAAATTAGCACATATATATATGTATATATATACAGCACTTAGAACACTGTGTGACAACACATTGTGAGCACTTAGTAAGTATAAGATGTTATTTTTATATGAGAAAACAATTTGAGAGAAAATGAAAGAAATCAGAATTGTAAAAAGTTTATAAAAACTTTAATAACCTCATATAAAGTGGAAAATTGGTATAAAACTCTTATATGAGGTCACTAATATAATACATATACATATATACAGACTAGGAAACAAGAGTAGAAATGTTCTGATATGGATTCAAGTGCATAATTTTTTATAGTAGTTATCTTTGGGTGGTAAGACTTTGGGTGGCTTTTTCCATTAATGCTTTAGTGAATTGTCCATATTCTATTTTAATCAAGCAGTGCCTCTATAGTCAGCACAAATAATAAATACTGTAGAAATTGCCTCTTCATGAAACTTTAAAAAATACTAAAGAAAATGAGTTTTTTTTAGTATTTAAAAAATACTAAAGAAAATAAATATGGTAGAAATGAGCTCTTCACTACTTTAAAAAATACAAAAGAAAATGAGATGCATTTTAGATTTCACTCTCCCCCAACCTGGCTGCTCGGTTGTTGTCATCCAGGTGAACCCCTAGCAGAATCTGTGGAGTCCGGATGTGTCTAACACCTAGTGCATTCCTCAGACCCACCCTGCCAGAGCTGGTGGATTTAGCCACGAGGGACTTTGGCACTGAGCTCAGACTTTCTGGTGGCATTGGGCAGTCACAACCTGAATCTTTGTCCAAATTCAACTACTTGATTAACTTCCGTTTAAATAGAAGCTTACTTTTGAAAAGTTAGGTTTTCTTCCATTTTTTTTTTCTCCCACAGCTGTCTTGGCAACATCTGATTCCAGCCAGGGCAGGAAGTATCTGAGTCAGAGATGGGGTGAAACAGTTTTTCTGGTGCTGTTCCCAGCCCTCTGACAAGGATCGTCTCTCCTGGAGCTTTCTGTCTGCTTCTACAAATAGCTTGTAGAGAGCCAGAGGATGTGTGTAACGGGATTCAACCAAAGCAGTCCTCCGGCCCACCCTTGACTGTATTTGAAAGAATGTGAGTCATCAGCATGGGTCCTGTCCTCTTCAGCATCCTCAATGAATTAGCAATTCCCAGAAAGCTACCCCTGAGGGAATGGGAAGAAAAAGAGACCAGAAGCAAGGAGACTGAATTTGCACCTACACCAGATGATTTTATAAGATGTGTTTAGATAAATATGGCACATTTCCACCCACCCACCATTAAAAAAAAAAAAAGAAGCAAAACTTTAGTGCTAGATTCTGAAGGCACATTTTGCTTCATTAATCTAAATAAGTACCTTAAATGTGAATTGTTCTCTTTTCTTCTCATTCTTTTTTCTTTTCCCTTTATTGTTGGCGTGGTAGCAGTTGGAAGTGTTTGAAATGGTCACACAAATACTTAGCCTCTCTCTTCTGTATTAAAAACGTAGGCAATTCCCTGTTTCTAGATGAGGAGGAGCTAAATGTGTATATGGCTTGAAGAGAACTCACCATCAGATGAACCTAATACTTTTACCCCTGGCTCTCTTTTTAAGGACTTAGACTTGAGTTATCTCTGAGAGGTCATGAAGCAACTCAACAGATTGGAAGACTGTGACTGGGAAAAATTGTGTCTTGGTGAAAACAATATTGGCTACTCAATTTGCTGAACCAGTATCTAAATCTTAACTTTGGCATTTATGAACTGTGTGATGTGGAGATATTTCTTAACTTCTCTGAACCTCAATTTTCTACTTTATAGGAATCATCGTGGTGACGTGAGGGTTAGTTATAATGGGTTGAAGTGCCTTTCACATGATAGATACTATACTATTTACCTCTATTGAACATACATAATCCTCCCATATAGACATTAAAATTGCTGTAAATAAAAACAGTGAAAGTAAAATCTACAATGTGGTAGAGATAAGTTAATAATAGTCATAGTTAAGTGTCTAGTGCTCAATTTTGTTTTTAGTAGAATGATATCAAGCGTACGTTTAAGTGACCATGTGCCTAATGGTTTTAAATGCTATACCTAACAGCTAGATTCACATCTCTCAAAGTGTGGATTGAGACCCATCTCACTAAGGATCACTGAAGATTCTTTCTAAAAGGCAGATTTCTAGGCCTATCTAAAACCTTGTTGGGTGTGGGGCCCTAAAATTTGTATTTTGCTGTGATTTCTATATACATTATAGTTTAAAAACACAAATTTGATGACAAAGATTTTTTTAAAATATTTTAAGACAATTATTTAGTATAGCATTATCTGAAAGATAATCTAGTTTTATCTGACAGAGTATCATAATGTACTCTACTGATATTAATACACATTATATCATTATAATTATAATTTATTTTTGACGAAACTCATCGGAAGTCATGGATCAGAGTAGTTTCTGGCTTGGTGCCAATGCAAGCTGAACTGCCTACCAGCTATGAGACTTTGAGAGAATTTTAACTTTTCATTAAATTCTAGTTTCCCATCTAGTCTCCATAATAGTTTCTACCCTATAGGATTATTGAAAGGATTGCATGAGATAACACATCTATAAGTTTTAGACTGTAGACGTTAGAGATTATCATCGAAAGACTTCATGATTATTATGTAGTTCAGAAAGACTCTGGTGGAGATTTGATGAGCGTCTTTGAGAATTTTTTTGGCTTGAGGCAAAGAGAGGCAAATCTGGATGGTCCTCATTTTCTCCCCCTTTTAGTATTTTAGCAGAAGCTGGCTTAGCAGGTGCAAAATAGCTCAAAGAAAGAAAAAACTGATTCTAGCTACTGGGCCTCACATAGTCCCTCCTTCTAGCAAGGTAATTTTTCCATAGTTATATAGTCACATAGATAGTCCCTGCACACACCCCCTACAAATACATAGAAAACTTTAGTTGTGGGAGGGGGTATAAACATAACCATTCTACTGGATCATTTGCCATGATGGATCTATTTTAGCTTTGTGTAACCTAAGCATACCTTTCTATGGAATGGGAGAACTTGGATTATATGTGCTTTATTGTTGCTCTGTCTTTACAGTTTTCCATATAAAACCCTATTTTTACAATATCTATACTAAGTAACACTAGAAGTCTGTGCTCATGACCCCTTTGCAAGATAACTTTTTTTTTTGATAAAGGGAATTTTGGAGATTAATAAATTAGCATGCAGGAGGTACAATCGAGAGAGTCCCTGGAGGCAGCATCTGTAGTATGGACTGAAGCATAGCAGGATGGGAACAGGGAGATGTGGAGCTGTGTGATGGTGTCAGAAGAGACCTCAAACCCCGTGGGAAGCTCTGAAGATGGGATTGCTCTTCCCCATCTTTGTAACCTTACCTGTACCAAGTCACTAAATAAGAGCCTTGCTAGGAAAAGGAATTAATCTTGAGCAAGGCACTCCCCATAGGGTTGACAGCTAGCAATCTGTTGCTGTTATCTGGCCCATCACTTGGTGAAATTAATAGGTCCTTCACTCCAAAAGGGAGATTTGGCTGGGGTACGACCAGATCCATCCTGCAGTCACATCTAGTCATGATACATTCTCTGAGATAGCTAGAGTGGATGTACTCATCCATTTTACTGATAAAGAGATTTAAAAAGTTCATTGACTTGCCCGAATGCTCACAGTTTATAAGTAGCAGAGCTGAAACTGAAACTTATCTCTTCTGATTTTCAGTTTCTATTTATACATTATCGTTTTAAAATTGCAGAGGTGGATGGAGATATAGTTATGGCTATACATGTTTATAAGTCTGAATGTATTTTATGTCAATAAGTAAGATGCATTCATTTAATAAACATTTCCAAATTGCCGTCTATATACAAAGCCCTAGAAGGAATGCTGGTAATATAGAGAAAGAAAGACACAGTTCCTGTTGTTTAAGAACTCCTGAACTAGTGAAAGAAAGAGATAAGTAAGCAACAATTATCACCTTACCAGGTAAGAGCTGTGATAGAGATAGATAGAGTGTGATAGAGTATGTAAAAAAGCACAAAATAGCCACTGCCTTTCAGCCCAGGTTCTCCAGACACTGTTGATACTCAATCTGGGTTCGAAGAATTATAAGAGAAAGGCAGAAATAATCTGAGTAAAGTCTTCAATTTGCAGAACTACAAATAATCCAGTGTAACTACAGTATCAGATGGTATTAAAATGGTGAGAGATAAGGCTGAAGAATTGATCTGGTACTGGAGCTTGATGGAAAATGGGAGGTTTTCAGTGTGGTTTGGAATTTCCTTTGAAGACATGAAGAGCCAGTGAAGAAATGTTTGCTGTAGAGGGGCAAGATGATATCTGAGTTTTAGGAAGATCACCATGCGGAATGAACCAGAAAGGGGGTGAGGCTGAAAGTCGATAAACCAAGTAAAAAAAATGAAGCAATAATCGATATGAGACACAGCAGTGGCCTGAATTTCAGCCTGCTAACTCACATTCACATGGTTTCTCCTTTTTATTAGGATGCATTAATTAAATTCCCTAGCAAAAGGCAGAGAATCAAGAGCACTCTGGAGAAAATAGAGGAAAATTCCTTTTGGAAAGAAGAAAGGATGGTGAAAGTGAAAGATGTTTAGTTTCAATAACCTTTAAAACTCATAGCCACAGAGGACTGTGTGGGTCCTCAGATCATTGAGAGGCCTTGGGTGGAGAAATGAGGATAAATGCACAGGGTTACCTCTGAGTGATCACACATACACCCCATCAGTGCCATTTCCATGCTTGTGAGGTGTGGAATATGGAAAGCCATAGACATCTGCCCTCTCCCATTTTGTGTAGTTCTCCCAGGCAGTTGTATTCTGCTTGGGGTCCAGCTCATACCTAGGGAAATTTATTTGAATCTTCCTGGTGGAACATTCCTATGATGCAAATCCAAAATGTGCAAGGATGCAGTAGCATTTACTGAGTACCTCAGACATTCCAGTACAAGGCAATTTAATACATTTTGTCCCAGTGAGCCCTTGCAAAAGTTCACCTATCATTATCATAAAGAAGCTGGTTCAGAGATGATGCCATGTGCCCAAAGAAATACAGCCAATCCATGCCAAGGTTGGGTTCCTCTGTTAGTCCGCACTGACCCCCATGGGCAGGCTCTGCACTGATGTCCAGGGCTGGATTGTAAGCTTACGTTGCTCCTGGAGTTACCCAATTCTATGTCAAGTAAACATAGGCTTTTTGAGCAGAAGCAGCAGCTGTAAAATGCCTCAAGATGAGTAGCAACAGGCAATCTACTTTATCTCTAGATTAGCATAGGGGTTAAGAGTACAGGTTCTGGAGTTCGACAAACCTGGGTTCAAATAAAAGTTTCTGAACTTTTTACTTGAGGAAATGTATTTAAGGCTGTTTTCTTACCTATAGACTAGAATGACCACAGTGTTGCCTCACAGGATTATTTTGAGAAATTAATGAGTAATTGACTTAAAACACTTGGTAAAATGTCTGGCACATGGTAACTGCTCATAGAGGTGAGCTAATACTAATACATATTACCTTTTCAATTACTTTTCATTTTTCTTATTCTACAATGAAAGAATCAGCTCATCGATGCTGTGAATTGACATCAAGAACTGATGTGATTTTTTGGTTAGATGAAATCATTATTTCTTTGAGAAATATCACTTGCAAAAAACTAACTTTTGTCTCCAATGCCTTTTCTCTCCTTTCCTTGCTCTTCTGTTTCTGTAATGAGAAACTGATGGGCATTTTCCTGCTCAATTTATTTGGATTCTGTAATTTTCTTTATTGCCTTGCTTTGCCCAATAAACCTTATGAATTTTTTCTTTTTACATTTCCACTTCAGGGTGTTTGGTGCTGTGATGACGAAAAATAAAACCTGAGTTACGATATGATAGGGCAATAACCATACAGACTTGCTTTAATCTTCCTGAGCCTCAATTTCCTTTTAAGTTACATGAGATCTATCCTACATATCTCACTGCTGTAATGAGCGTCAAAAGATACAGTGGTGGTAAAATACATTATAAAGCTTAAAGTTCTGTAAAAAATGTAAGATTTTTATTTTATTGCTGTTACACAGCAAGAAAAAACTTCAGATAAAAGTGGTCATGCGCCTATTTTAAGTGCTAGCTCCTACAATAGGGAACTACTGAAGAGCGTGTTTTGTCTGAAACTGACATTACTTTAAAAAGGGTGAGAGAACGATTTCCTTAAAATTTGTGCCTATGTTTTACAGGAAAGGGAGGCAGAGGGCTGACAATGGTAAGGCTTGGAAACGTAATTGATGAAAGACTCGCATACACGTGGTTTGGTTAGGCTCGTGCGTGTTTAATTATATGATCAAAAGAAGGAGGAGGCCGGGCGCCGTGGCTCACGCCTGTAATCCCACCGCTTTGGGAGGCCGAGGCGGGCAGATCACCTGAGGTTGGGAGTGCGAGACCAGCCTGACCAACACGGAGAAACCCCGTCTCTACTAAAAACACACAATTAGCCGGGCGTGGTGGCACATGCCTGTAATCCCAGCTACTCGGGAGGCTGAGACAGGGGAATTGCTTGAACCCGGGAGGCGGAGGTTGTGGTGAGCCGAGATCGTGCCACTGCACTCCAGCCTGGGCAACAAGAGTGAAAACTCCGTCTCAAAAAAAAAAAAAAAAAAAAAAAAGGAGGGACAGTATTGAGGTGGCCATGGGTTTTATCAGACCAACCCTTCCCAGCAACTGTCAGAAAAAAACAAACAGGAGATTGCATAGAAAGCAGTGGTGACTTCTGTAAAGAAAGGGTTGCAGAAACGCCTGGGCCATCGACATTTTTCACCTCCTCTAATAGATGCTACTCACTATCACCAGCCTCAGTTCCTTAATACCCACTACAATTCCTTAATACCCACTCAGTTCCTTAATACCCACTACTTGCTGTAGAGGGACAAGATGATATCTGAATTTTAGGATATCACTTCCCTGTGTGACCTCAGGGAAGACAGTCTCTGAGCCTTACTCAGTTGTGTGCTGGTGTTTTGAAAATATATACACATATATACACACAGGAGTTTATCATAGATTTTACTGATATAAAAGATGTGTAGCATACATTTTATAAATACGGTATACAATACTCTGTAGTATAAATTTCCTATAGCCGATTGTTAATCGCAGAATCATTTCATTGATTTTTGCCTACTCTTACACCCACAGCTAAACTGTGGTTGGGACTGACTGAGTGATTGTAGTTCTGAAATGAATTGTTTGTTGCTGTTTAATTTACATTTACAATAAGATAACAGTGAAACAACAAAGGCACATGTGAGAATTTCACTTATTTATTAGTGAAATAATATCACTAATCACTTAGTGACCTAAGTGATGTTGTTGCCAAATCAAATAATAATTTTTGAGTAATGAAAGAATAGTTTCTGAAGGAATTTTTATGCTATTCACAATCTAATAGCTGTGGACACGTTCCTTTTTTTTTTTTTTTTTTTTTTTTTTTTTTTTTTTTTTTGAGGCAAGGATGGGTCTTACTCACTCATCCAAGCTGGAGTGTAGTGTTATGATCACAGTTCACTGCAGCCTCGAATTCCTGGGCTCAAGCCAGCTTCCCACCTCAGTCTCCCAAGTAGTTGGGACTGTAGGAGTGTGACATCATGCCAAGCTAATTTAAATTTTTTTTTAGAGAGACAGAGTCTCTCTATGTTCTTCAGGCTGGTCTCGAACTCCTGATTGCTTCAAGCAATCCTCCTGCCTTGGCCTTCCAAAGTGCTGGGATTACAAGTATGAGTCACTGCACCTGACCTCCTTCTCTTAAATTTATTCTGCCTCATAAACATTTTCTCCATAATTATCTTAGGTCTAGACAAAAAACAAAATAATGAATTAAGCTGTAGTTTACATCATTTGCTGATTTTGGAGGGGGTAAAAATTCCCACTGTGGTCTATTTCAAGTGACAGTTCGTCCTACTGAATGTGAAGGTAGGGAGAGATGTACAGTATTACATCAATCTATAGTCTTTGCACCATACAGTGATAATAACTATAAGTAAATTTAAGGACAAAAATATTAGAAAAATGGAAACTGTTAACTTTTGAATATTGCCTTTGTTTTATTATAAAGTATTTAATAGTGAGTTTATAGTCTGTGTTTTTAAAGTAATGGTTAAGTTCAGCAACCACTTCACAAGATTCCTAGAAATTAAAAATCAGCCATCATGATTTAGTGAAAGTTGACTTGATTTAGTGAAAGTTGACTCCAACACACTACTGGCCTTTAGTGTTCCTTGTTTTGTAAAGCGGATGACCAGATTTTGAAAATGTATGCAAAATGCTTGGTATACTCTCTCCAATTTTTAAATGGCATTTTTTCATTAATTCAGTGTACCTTTTTGTATCTTGATTTTTTAGCATTAACAAACCCCTTGTGAATTTCTCTGCCATGTAATACCTTGTTGGATTCGAAAGTGGCATACTGAAGTCTTCCCGAATATGAATTCTCAGACATCACATAAGAGATGTATGCTTACTTCCGTAATGTAATTATTACACAATAAGTAAATCCACTTTTCTGGTCTCTGCAATATACATTTCTGCAGGCATTAGAAGGCTCTGCCTTTAAAGAACAATCACAAGAACCTGCTTTTTATCCCCACTTGCCTCATTTCATTTTTCCCATTAGCAGCAATTTAAAAATTCTTCCAGACTGCAGCTCTCATTGTGCCTTTTTGCTTTACTGCAGAGTAGGTCTTTATTCTCTTTACTCTGAAGCTTTAATATTTGAAATTGGTCTCATAAATTAAAAAAGAACACTCATATGGATGATTATTTTAAAACTCAATCAAAAAGTTTTTTTTTTCTTATTCTTTTTTGAGGGCAGTGGAAGAGTAATGGATAAATGTATAATCAACTCACATAAAATTCGACAAGTGGATATTTTATGATATTGCCTTCTGGGAATCCAAATAGCATGCACTTTTTATCATAACAATTCAGTCCAATTCCGTGACCAAGGGAGAAGAGCACAGCACATTTAAGAACCAGTTGTAGGGACCTGACAGCGTCTTGCTGCCAACAGCAAAGCTGAAATGCGGAATCCCAGCCTGAAACAGGGACATGGGGCTTTATGAGTTCATACACGTGGGGATTTTAATGGGAGCAGCTATTTGGACATCTTCTTTTTCTCTCCCACATGCTGAGTTGAAGAGCTGGAGAATGAGGTCGTATAAATTTAGAATGTACCAAGTAGCTAAAATTGCTGATTCACCTGTACACTTTGGCCATCACTTATCTAAGGTAGTTTCTGGCTAAAAAGCCCATGGAACATCCACTTTGGAGATTTTCAGCAGTCAGAACTGTTTGCAGCTTGTCTGATGAAACATTTGCCAATACAGATCCAAAGGCTATATTGGGAGAAGTGTAGTTAAGTTTAGTACATTTCTAAATTGGAACACAACAGGTTTATCACAGCTAAACCCAACCTCAGAAATGAGGAATGAATTTGCTCCTTTATTTACCAGATTCTGTTTGATGTTGGCATTAAATAAGTAGAGGCAAGAATTGGCAGGCCTGTGCAGCAAAAGACATGGATCGGGAAGCAACAAATTGAATTCAAGGGGCACATAAGAAAAATTGTGATAGGAATGCCAACTGTAACATGGGATGACATTAAAAAGCAATGGAGGCCAGGCATGGTGGCTCGTGCCTGTAATCCCAGCTTCTGGAGGCCGAGGTGGGCAGATCACCTGATGTAAGGAGTTCGAGACCAGCCTGGCCAATGTGGCAAAACCCTGCCTCTACTAAAAAACAAAAATCAGCCAGCCATGGTGGTGCTCGCCTGTAGTCCTAGCTACTTGGGAGGCTGAGGATGGAGAATCGCTTGAACCCGGGAGGTGGAGGTTTTAGCAAGCCAAGATCCCACCACTGCACTTCAGCCTGGGTGACAGAGTGAGATTCTGTCTCGACAAAAAAAGAAAAAAAGCAATGGAAGAGGCAGATAAGAATGCAAGCCTCTTGATTCCAGTAGAAGTTATCCCACTTTAAAATGGCAGTAATTATTGAATTTGAAAATCGAACCTTAGAGCCACACTGAAGACAGGAATGAAAAATCAAGTTTTTTTTAGTCCTGTGAAAAATGATGTTGATACTTTAAGAGGAATCATGTTGAAACTGTAGATTGCTTTGGGCAGTATGGCCATTTTAATGTTATTGATTCTTCCAATCCATGAGTGTGGAATGTTTTTCCATTTGTTTGTGTCATCTACTATGTCTTTTAGCAGTGCTCTTCTCGTAGAGATCTTTTACCATGGTTAAATGCATTCCTAGGTATTTTATTCTGTTTGTGGCTATTTTAAATGAGATTGCATTTTTTTTTGTTTGGCTCTCAGATTGAATATAATTGGTATATAGACATGCTACTGATTTTTGTACATTGATTTTGTATCTTGAAATTTTACCAAAGTTGTTCAACAGTTTCTGGAGCCTGGAACTCATGGCTGATGGCTGATTGGTGAAGCCTTTAGGGTTTTCTAGGTATAGATTTATATCATTTGCAAATTAACCAAAATAGCATGGTAGTGGTACAAAGACAGACACACAGACCAATGAAGGAGAATAGAAAACCCAGAAATAAAGCCACATACCTACAGCCATCTGATCTTCAAAAAAGTCAACATGCTCTCTATTCAATTAATAGTGCTGGGATAGCTGGCCACCCATATGCAGAAGAATAAAACTGGACCCCTACCTTTCAACATATGCAAAATTAACTCTAGATTAATTAAAAATTTAAACTATAAGAATCCTAGAAGAAAACCTGGGAAACACCATCCTGGACATCAGCCTTGGGAAATAATTTATGACTAAGTCCTCAAAAGCAATTACAACAAAAACAAAAATTGACAAGTGGGACTCAATTAAAGTAAATAGCTTTTGCACACAAAAGAAACTTTTAACAGAGGAAAAACAAAACCTACAGAAGAGGAGAAAATTTTTGCAAATGTTGCATCTGACAAAGATCTAATATCCAGAATCTATAAGGAACTTAAACAATGAACAAGAAAAAAATAAATAACCCCATCAAAAAATGGGCAAAAGACATGAATAGACACTTCTCAAAAGAAGTCATGGCTGGGCGCAGTGGCTCACTCCTGTAATCGCAGCACTTTGGGAGGCTGAGGTGGGCAGATCATGAGGTCAGGAGATCGAGACCATCCTGGCTAACACGGTGAAACCCTGTCTCTACTAAACACACACACACACACACACAAATTAGCCAGGCATGGTGGCGGCGCCTGTAGTCCCAGCTACTTGGGAGGCTGAGAGAGGAGAATGGCGTGAACCTGGGAGGCGGAGCTTGCAGTGAGCTGAGATTGCACCACTGCACTCCAGCCTGGGCAACAGAACGAGACTCCCTCTCAAAAAAAAGAAAAAAAAAAAAAAAAAAAGTCATACAAGTGGCCAAGAAACATAAAAAAATTTCACATCACTAATTATCAGAGAAACACAAATCATAACCACCATGAAATATCATCTCACACCAGTCAGAATGGCTACTATTAAAAAGTCAACAAACAACAGGCTTGTGAGGCTGCAGAGAAAAGATAACACTTATACACTGCTGGTGGAAATGTAAATTAATTCAGCCACTGTGGAAAGCAGTTTGGAGATTTCTCAAGGAACTTTAAACAGAACTGCCATTGAACCCAGCAATCCTATTACTGGGTATATATTGAAAAGAAAACAAATTATTCTACCAAAAAGAAATATGCACTTGGATATTCATTACAGCACTATTCACAATAGCAAAGTCATAAAATCAACCTAGGTGATTTGATAAAGCACATGTAGCACATATACACCATGAAACACTACACAGCCATATAAAAGAATAAAACCATGTCCCTTGCAGCAACATGGATGCATGAGGAGGCCTTTAACCTAAGAGAATTAGTGGAGAAAGAGAAAACCAAGTCCTGTATATTCTCACTTGTAAGTGACAACTAAATATTGGATACTCGTGGACATGAAGATGGGAACAATAGAAACTGGGAACTACTGGAGGTGAGAGGGAGAGAAGGAAAGGGTTTTAAAACTATTAGGTACTCTGCTAAGTGACAGGAGCATTCAGACCCGTAAACCTCAGCATCACACAATATATTCAGACAACAAACCTGCACATGTACCCCCATATCTAAAATAAAATTTGAAAGAAATAATTGAATTAGTCCTGAAATAAATAATTGAAAAGTCCTGAATTATAACAGGACATTTCAGTTTCCATGTCCCATTTACATTTTGCATTTCAGTGTCTGCAGAGTTACTTTATTTACCCATCTGATGTCCTTGAATGGGACCACAGGCCTGTGCATAAGAAGGGAGGGTGAACTGATATCTATTTCAGAGGACAGGCTTATGGTGCACAATGTACAGCCAGTCAGCAGAAGCCTCAGGTTTTCCCAAGATGCACCACTGCAGCCAAAGGCCATCTGAGAAAATCTCCCAGGAGGAGCTTTTTCTCCTGGATGTCCAGAACCTTGCATAAGAAATCAGACAGGACGTGTAGTTCAAGCTGAGCGGCAGCAAGCACAATGGAAAGTGAGGGGAGCTGGTTTCTTTCCATGGGAAGTGTCCATAATGTAATAGAAATTGTCTATAGGGTAATAGATTTCAAACTTTTTTCTCCTCCCCTCTGCCACCTTTAAGAATGTGGAATCTTATTCAGGATTCAATTATCTTTTCATAGATCTTAATAGAGCAGAATGATTTGAAACCCTGGTTGCCCACTGTCTTCCTCACCTACCTGGGCTTTCCAGAGTATTTTTTGCAGAAATCTGGGGATCCTGGAAATACGAGGTGAAAACTGCAGAGCTGGATGATCTCTAAAGTTTGTTACATCATGAGTATTCATGATTTCATGAAGGTCACATGGGGAAGCCAAGACTCCAGTTGAGTCTTCCGATTGCCCTCAAATTGGCTCCTTCATTCCTCACTGTGTCCAGCCATGTGTCCACCCACAGCAGTAAAGTCAGTTAAGGCCAAGTTTCCACTCTCAGGAGACGCATGACTGAACCTCACAGCCTTGCTTTGGTTTGGGGGAAATGACCTTAGCTTTGGGCTCCCGGTCCAGATTTATAAATGGAAGCTGAGAGTTGGCCCTTTGGGGAGACCTAACAAAACACTCTTCACTTTAGCATTGTTCAATATCTAGTCATCTGAAAAGCTCTGTCCACGTCTCCATGTTTTATGGCACTCCCTCTTGTTTACTTTGTTTCAATCACTGTGGTCTTCCTTCACTCCGTAAAACTAGAACAGCTTTGCATCACAAGGCCTTTGCGTATATTGTTCCTGCTGCATGCAATGCTCTTTCCTTCGCTCTTTACCAGGTTAACATCTACTTCTTGATTCAAACTTCAGCTCAATAGTTCCTCTCCCAGGAGATACTTCTCTGACCTTTTTGTCCACTTGGAACCAGTCTATTGCTCATGCTTACAGTGAAAGGCAGCTGTCTTTCATGGCCCTTAAGCCAACTGTGAATTACAACTAGCAAACTTACCATGGCAAATAATCTGTGTGATTATTTGATAAATATTTACTTTCCTTTCTAGACCAGGGATTGGAAAACTACAGCCCTCGGGTCAAATCCAGCTCACCATCTGTTTTTGCAAAATTAAGTGTTACTGGAACATAGCCATGTTAACTCATTTGCATATTGTTCATAGCTGCTTTCACACTGTAACAGCAGCGTTAAGTAGTTGCAACTACCCACAAAACTAAAATACCTGGCTCTTTAGAGAAAAGCTTTGCCAACACTTGCTCAAGACCATAAGCTTCTTAAAAACAGGAAATATGACCATATTGCTCATCATTTTGTCCCTCTGCAGCTAACCCAGTTCCTGACATATATTCCTGGCTCAATAAATATATTTTTAATGAATGAATCAATGAGTGATTGACAAACACATTAGTTATATATGTGGAATATAGTCAGAATTACAGAGTAGAAAATTGCATCAACAATATAGGAAAGAAAGCCCTGTTTTTGAATGGCATTTTTATTTTTTAAATATTCATCATTATCAAAAAAATGAGAAATAGAAAGTGTATTGGTGAATGATTTAATATTCAATGATATTAGAGTTGGACAAATCAAAATAACAACTAATCTTGTGTTGAATTAAAACATAAAATCGTGATCAACCATCCAAAGCAAGTGTTTCCATGCAACTAATACCCTCAAATTGCCCGCCAACAATTCAGCCTTTTTAAATGAGGCATGTAACTAATAGATTCTATTTTTTAATACTATTACAAAATATGACTTGTTTCTGGTTGATTTAAAAATATTTTATTTGTTGCACAAATGGCCTAAAATATATATAAAACAATCATATTGCAAATTTTGCTATTCTGTGAGAAGGCATGCATTTTTTCCTCTAGGGACAAAAAATACAGTATAAATTGCCTCCTTGGTAGATAATTTCTAGCTTTTGACTATAAATTGATACATTAAATACACACGGAGAGACATATATTTAGAGGGTATTATTTTGCTTCATTTTTGAACTTAGTTTAAACATTTATTTTTTGCTGGTTTTGTAGAACAATAATCAATGCACAGATTGGGGGCCAGGATGGGGTGGGGAGGCTTTGATGGTATATTGACAGTTTCCTGCTTGGCGACATCCTCAGCCTTTCACAAGGCCACAAGTAATTTACGATGGCAATAAAGACCTGAATATTTTTCTGTATTCAAGGTAGCTCCTTGCTTCCAGAAGAAGCATAGCCCTGCTTTTGAATGTGATCCACGTAGTAGATGTGGAAGACAGCCCTTAGAAAGAGAGGCCATTAGATCAGGAAGCAGCTGTCTGGCAGTCCCTGTTCATATTCAGCAGCCATTCCTGAGACGTGACTGTCACTGCTAAGCAATTTCCCAGGGCCTTGTTCGTTTGGCACACTAGACAAAGCCAGTCTTGGCTCGGTATATCTCAAAAGGCAGGTCTGTACCATAGCAGATTAGTGCACAGGCTTATCTCAGTTCAAAAGCTGCTTCTGCCACTGAGTAACTGCTTGGGGCAAGTGCTTGGACCTGGCTGTGCCACAGTTTCTTCATCTGTGCAGATGGAGGAAATAAAGCAACCTGTAAAGAAAATGGTTGGAACCATCTCAGGCGCACAGTAAGCACTCAATAAAGGAGCTATCATTATTAGCTTTTTTTAGATCAGACATACATTTTATTTATTTATTTATTTATTTTTGAGACAGAGTCTCACTCTGTTGCCCAGGCTGGAGTGCAGTGGCGTGATCTCGGCTCACTGCAACCTCTGCCTCCTGGGTTCAAGCAATTCTCCTGCCTCAGTCTCCTGAGTAGCTGGGATTACAGGCGCCCGCCACCACGCCCGGCTAATTTTTGTACTTTTAGTAGAGATGGGGTTTCACCATGTTGGTCAGGCTGGTTTCGAACCCCTGACCTTGTGATCCACTCGCCTCGGCCTCCCAAAGTGCTGGGATTATAGGCGTGAGCCACCGCGCCCGGCAAATTTTATTTATTTTTAAAAAAATTTTTGGGGTACATAGTAGGCGTATATATTAATGGGGTACATGAGATGTTTTGATACAGGCATGCAATGTGAAATAAGCACATCATGGAGAATGGGGTGTCCATCCCCTCAGGCATTTATCCTTTGTGTTACAAACAATCCTATTATGCCATTTGTTATTTTAAAATGTACAATGAAGTTATTATTGACTTTAGTCATCTTATTCTGCTATCAAATAGTAGGTCTTATTAATTATTTCTATTTTTTTTGTATCCATTAACCATTTCGACCTTCCCCCATCCCCCCACTACCCTTCTCAAGCTCTGGTAACCATCCTTCTACTCCCTAGGTCCATGAGTTCAATTGATTTGATTTTTAGGTACCTCAAATAAGTGAGAACATGTGATGTTTGTCTTTCCCTGCCTGGCTTATTTCACTTAACATAATGACCTCCAGTTCCACCGTGTCGTTGCGAATCACTGAATCTCATACTTTTTTTATGGGTGAATAATACTCCATTGTGTATATGTACCACATTTTCTTTATCCATTCTTCTGTTGACGGACACTTAGGTTGCTTCCAAATCTTAGCTATTGTAAACAGTGCTGCAACAAACATATGAGTGCAGATATCTCTTTGATATACTGATTTCCTTTCTTTGGGATATATACCCAGCAGTGGGATTGCTGGATCTTATGGTAGCTCAATTTTTAGTTTTTTGAGGAACCTCCGAACTCTTCTCCATAGTGGTTGTACTAATTTACATTCCCATCAACAGTGTATGAGGGTTCCCTTTTCTCCACACCCTTGCCAGCATTTGTTATTGTCTACCTTTTGGGTATAAACCATTTTAACAGGGTGAGATGATATCTCATTGTAGTTTTCATTTGCAATTCTCTGATGATCAATGATATTGAGCACATTTTCATATGTCTGCCATTTGTATGTCTTCTTTTGAGAAATGTCTATTCAAATCTTTTGCCCATATTTTGATCAGATTATTAGATCTTTTTTCTGTAAAGTTGTCTGAGCTCTTTATATATTCCAGTTAGCTTTTAAAACAGAATTAAATAGGTTGGGCACAGTGGCTCACGCCTGTAATCCCAGCACTTTGGGAGGCCAAAGCAGGTGGATCATGATGTCGGGAGATCGAGACCATCCTGGCTAACATGGTGAAAACCCGTCTCTACTAAAAACACAAAAAATTAGCCAGGCATGATGGCAGGTGCCTGTAGTTCCAGCTACTCGGTAGGCTGAGGTGGGAGAATGGCGTGAACCCAGGAGGCGGAGCTTGCAGTGAGCCGAGATGGGACCACTGCACTCCAGCCTGGGCGACAGAGCAAGACTCTGTCTCAAAACAACAACAACAACAACAACAACAACAACAACAACATCAACAAACAGAATTAAATAGTTTGAGTTCCTTCTATATTTATTGTTAGCTTTTAAACAGAATTTCTGAGACAAGGACTTCTTTCCTAACTGAGAAAGCTTATGAGGACAGATGTCTTTTCCCACGAGGTTGGGCTTTACATCCATATTTGTGGTTATTCATGTTCTAATTCATAGGTTTCATCTAATTATTCAACATGATTAAATAATTATTCAGCCTTAGGTTATTCTGAGAACTCAATGATGCTCAACTACTCTCCAGCAAGATCTTTGATACAAAAATGTCCATGGTTCAGCTTTCATGCTGAACCATAAAAAGAATGTTCCTCTTCCCTTTACTATAAAAAGGGAAAGAGAAATAACATTTCTTGACCACCTAGCTATATGCTAGATGTTGGGTTAACTGACTGCACTTTGCTAATATGATTCACGAAGTTCTCATGATAACCAAACAAAGCAAGGGTTGAAGTCTCTCTTTGACATATGGATGAACTAAGGATTGGGAAGATAAGATATTTTTCTAAGTACTACAAAGGGGCAGAATTCAAACCCTGGTCTATCCTCCCTCTGCTTGTTATTCGTGTATATGAGAAGCTAATGATTTATCATGAATTTTCCCTGTTTAACAACATAAGGTTCTTTCAAGCAGGGGCAGGACATGTTTAGCTTGCCTAGAAACTTGACTTGATTGCTGTCTCCAGTTGCCTTATCGGGTATCCCAGAATATCCAATTCATTCTTAGGCCAGAGACAAACCTGCAAGTGACTTTAAATAGCAAACATGGTTTCTGTTCAGAAATTGGATTGCCAAAACTTGTTTTAATGTGAAATCCTTTCTCCTCCTACAGCTCCTTCTTTCTTCTACCATTTCTCTTTCTCCTTCATTGTCTCCTCTGCTTACAGCCAGAATCCATATCCTGTTCCAAGATGCCTGTTCCAAACTCCCATCACTAAAGTTTAGGTAAGAAGGCCTTCCTCCCCAACCCATTGGCTCTGGGATGGGGTGCGGGGAGAGGCACTGACAGATTCCACAGCCGTCTCTAAAAATCCTCTTTCAAAATTCTCTCTCTTTAACTTCTTCAATGGTTATATAGCCTCAAACTGGACCAGGGGACTCTGTCTGGGGAGTCCAAGAGTTGTGAAACTAGTTCTAGTTCATTCGTTTTGGAAATCTGCAACCTCCAGTGAGTGTGCAATGTCTACTGTACCTTGATACCTAGTGAAGAAGTCAATTTTATCATCGTGTCAACACATACAACTCACTTGCAGTTTTGCCATTTGCTTTGACCCTTGTATTTGGAGACCCAGAATCTTCCCTAAGCCCTGTTCTCATTGGAACTTTCAGGTTTTCTTCATCATGGAAGTCTAGCAGGGGCCTCCATGCCTGAGTTCATGAATAGAGCTTGTTCCAAAGACCAAGTGTTTGCATACAAGGATAGAGATACTTTAGGCTTAAAGGAAAATGTGTGTCTTAGATTGATTTCCAGACTGGGCCCCCAAGTTTAAGTAGATGGCCAGATGGATAGGAAGGCTTCTAATAAAAGAATATGACAACTGCACAAAAGAGGAATGGCATTACCCTGTGCATAAAGAACTAAGTATGCACACCCCTGTGTCTCTATGCATCTGTTTGTTGCACTATAACAAATAATCAGAAGACATTGGGGTGGAGAACCATGAAGGGTCAAAATTCCTCAAATACCTGAAGAGTGGAGCAGCGGCAGGAACCCCTTAATTCCTGAGCAGACAAGCTGGCATTTGAACTGTATCCTGGGGCCCCCCAAGAGGCTGGTGATAAAATCAGAAGAAGGGAAAATGATTACAAGAAAGGTTAGCATCCATAGAACTTGGGAGAGACCTATTGGAACTCCCTGAGCAATCTGGGAGGAATCCAAGGGCATCCAGGGTTCATTCTGTTCTACAAGTAGGGGCTGATCTAGGATAGTAATTGGGACACCACTATGCTAGGTCTGGCAGGACCAGGATGCCTGGATAAATAAGAGGTAGACCCGTATGCCATTCCCCACCTTCCTCCAAACCTTCTCAAGTCCAATACACTCCTGCTTCCAGGACCCTCTTTGTGGCAGAGAGAACAGGGAACAACAGCCCACCAAGAAGGCCCAGGGCCCCCATTCTTTCAGCCTTTGCACCCCAAGGAACCTGGAGGACACACCCTTTCTACCATCCCTGGTTGCTTGCATAAGAGTCTGACCTCAGCTAATGATGGTTCTTCTAATCCATAAGGACCTGAGAGAGGACCTCCAGTGGACAAGGGCCACTCTTTGAGACAATGGTCAAAGGAAAAATAATAAATAATTGCACTTTCTTAGGTGGGTTTGTCCTGGTGGGTTTAAGCCCACAAGAACCTCCAAATTGAGACTGATTCACCTGGTTATAAAATCATGATAATTCCTGCTTCAACATGGCCATGAGCCACATTCCACTTTATTCTGCAGGTTTGGTGTGTTCTGATTTGGCCCAAACCTGCAGGTTAAGTGAATGTTGTTGTTAGGAGTTAAACAGAGTCAGAGATTGGAATCCCAAGGCTGATGGAGGCCAAAGCTACCATCAGTCCCTCCCAATAAGGCCACCCTTTCTGATGACTTAGAATTCAAATCATGGAGGCTTCTAACAAAAAGGATCTATTTTTTGTCCAAGGTTGCTTAGAACTTTTCTTATTCCCACCTTCATCTAACATATGAGGATACAATTCAGAGGGATAAATTGGCTCATCCACTCTAACAGAGAAGGTTAGGGACAGAGCCACAAGTCCAACACTCCTGAAAACACTGAGCCCACCTTACCACCCTCCAGGAATACTACCTGGTACAAAAAGCAAAGGCCTCAGCTACGGTTCCTAAACGGAACTCTGCAAGAACCACGGGTTCCCAAAGGAGTTTCCCACAGTTCATTTAAAGCAAGGAAGAAAATCTCAGCAGAAACAACTTAAAAACAAAGAATGCCCACTCCAAAGCCTCCGAGCCCCAATGCTGAGGCGTGCTTACAGCTTTTAAGGCATCAAAGCAAAACAAAAATATTCCACAACCTCCATGTTTGAGAGCTACTTATTCAGCAAGTCCTGCTGCTTCTCATCTCCAATATCTAAATCTGTGGGATTTGCACTGATTAAACGTGGGCGGCTCAGAGCGTTCTTCTCCGTGGCAGGCTGTTGCACTTCAGGCAGCTCAGCTCAAAGAGACACTTCCACGTTTAGCTTACATTTTCCCTTCCCTAATTTGTTTTATTACTCCCAGACTCATTTATTGATACCTGATACTCTGTCCACTTATGTGTTTCCTGTCATTAGCCAGAGCCCCGGGAACTTTCATCACTTTCTCCAGAGCAACGGGGAGTTCGTGTCTCTCCTTCCAATTATTGCTGCGAGTTTGAGGATGTCATCTTTTGCCCTTTTCAGAAGGAGAACTTTCTGCAAAGGACAAGACATTTGTAACAGGATGTCTGGTGCAGAAAAAAAACTCATGGGGGATCAGGGTAAAGTGACTTGTGGATGGGGGTGAACATCACCAGGATGGCAGTGCTTTCCCTCTGTACCCCATTCTGTGATTAATGGATATCCTCTGTGGACCGATGAGGTGAATCCCAAAGGTCAGCCTAAAGTGACATTTTTTTTGGTCACAGCTTGAAAGCAAGTTTTATTTAACAAATAATATAAAAATATGCTTTAGTTAAAGCCCTTTCTTTTCTGCCTGATTAAGACAGAAAATATCACATTTCCGATCACCTTATTTTCTTAGGTACTTAAATTGTTTTCTTTTTTCTTCCTAACAATAGGCACGACTCAGCCTGTTCCTGTCCCTGAGGGACTCTTAAAGCAACTAGGAAATTATAATTTAAGAATAATCTAATTCAAATTGCAGTCATTACACTCGGCTTAAATAAGGATCTTGCCATCATTACATGTTATAATTATGTCACCACATGCTATATAATTCCAATTAGATGATGATTACATGCCATATATTAACATTAATTGTGTAACTAGACATAACCATATGTTTATACGTGGATTTAATTACCTTCTTTAAAAATCCTATTGAAGAAGATGTATGTGACACATTTTTAAAAGAGGAAAAGTAGCAAGGAAAAACTTGTTCAAGTAAATATATAAAATCAATCATATGGAGGAAATGTAAATCATTGAAATAGGCTTTTGAATTAACATTTGTGTGATTACCCTGGCTTCGTATTTTTGTTTGTAAAAATCATATAATAATATTATGAAAGTTCAAAAGATTCAGGTAGATCGGCCATAAGCTCATCGCCAGAACCCAATTCCTTTCCAGGTCCAGCTCATATCCACATACACGTGTGACTGCCTGCGGTTTTAACAACTTACAAAATGTTAATTCTGCATTTTCATATAACGTGTCATAAATGATTCTTTTATTATGTATTGCCTCATGTCCATCATGCACGCTATTAACAGCAGTATGGTGTATTGATTGAGAAAGCACTGATACCAAAATAAGACACCCTGGTGAGCCGGGCGCAGTGGCTCATGCCTGTAATCCCAGCACGTTGGGAGGCCAAGGCGGGCAGATCACCTGAGGTCAGGAGTTCGAGACCAGCCTGGCTAACATGGCGAAACCCCGTCTCTACTAAAAATACAAAAAATAGCTGGGCATGTTGGTGGGCACCTGTAATCCCAGCTACTTGGGAGGCCGAGGCAGGAGAATCACTTGAACCTGGGAGGTGGAGGTTGCAATGAGCCGAGGCCGAGCCATTGCACTCCAGCCTGGGCAACAAGAGCAAAACTCTGTCTCAAAGGGGGAAAAAAAGACTCCCTGGCTTGGTGGCCTTGATTAATGGACTTAACTTGTTTGTGCCTCAATAGTCCCATCTGTTAAATGGCAATAGTGAGCACCTACCTCATAAGGTTACTGTGAAAATGAAATATGTTATTATATGCAAAATGCTTAGAAAAATGATGCAAAGGAGAAATTCAGTAAAGGTTAAGTAGGATTGTGCTGGTGGATGTCTCTAGCCAGTTGAGAACCATAGTTTACTTGATTCATTTCCTATTTGATGGCAACATTAATATCTCCAAATTCTGATATTGTCAGTAAGGCTTGGGTACATATTTTTGTGCACATAAATTTCTCTTTCTTTGAATTTCTCTGGGCAAATTATCTGTTGAACATCAGAAATACATCCATGTAAATCTCTTTTAATGTTCCCTTCCCAGGACAGTGCCCAGTTTTTAAAAATAATCAGCTCAGCATAGAAAAACAACGGAAAGAAATTTAAATTTTTACTGCTTTATTTTTTAAAATATTTCTGATAAGCAGCAAAAAACATAACATCTTTGTGCAAACCTCTATTTTTCCCTCCTCATGCACACCCCCACCCCCACCCCCACCGTAACCTCAAAGTCTCCTTCCCCACTAAAGCCCTTCTTCTCATTGCCCATACAATTCAGTCCATTGAAGCTTGCGTTATCACCTCCTCCCTTCTTACCAATAACTTTCTGGTCTTTCTAAGTTTAGCAATTACCTTGTTTGCATCTAATATGAGCGCAGGAGATTATCTACCAAAGGCTCACTGGAGGGGGTCACAAGAGGGGTGGGAGGAGGCTGAGAGGCAAAGGGGTATTCTTAATGTAGGGCAAAAGAGAACAGGAGCATTAATAAATCTGTCTATCTATCTATCTATCTATCTATCTATCTATCTATGTATCTATCTATCTATCTATCTATCGTCTATCTATCCCTACCTATATATATCCATATATCTATATGTTTACCTATATCTATCTTCTGTCTATCTATCCCTACCTACGTATATCTATATCCATATATCTATACCTATACCTATAATATCTATCTATCTATCTATCATCTATCTATTCATCCATCCCTACCTACATGTATCTATATCCATTTATCTATACCTATACCTGTATCTATCTTCTATCTATCTATCCATCCCTACCTACATATATCTATATCCATATATCTATAACTATACCTATATCTATCTATATCTATTTACCCATCCATCCATACCTACATATATCTATATCCATATATCTATGCCTATACCTATATCTATCATCTATCTATCTCTACCTATATATATCTATATCCATATATCTATACCTATACCTATATCCATCTGTCTATCATATATCTATCAATCAGCTATCTAGTCATCCATCCATACCTACATATATCTATATCCATATAGCTATACCTATACCTATATCTATCTTCTATCTATCTATCCATCCCTACCTATATATATCTGTATCCATATATCTATACCTATACCTATATCTGTCTATCTATCTATATCTATCCATCCCTACTTACGTATATCTATATCTGTATACCTATGCCAATACCTCTATCATCTATCTATCTAACATCTCTACCTATATATATCTATATCCATGTATCTATACCTATATCAATCAATCAATCTATCTATCTATCTATTCATCCTATTCATCATCCCTACCTACATACATCTATATCCATATATCTATACCTATACCTTTATCTATCTATCTGTCATGTATCTATCTATTCATCCATCCCTATCTACATATATCTATATCCATATATGTATACCTCTATCTATCTATCTAATCTATCTCTGTCAGCTTGCTATGACAGCTTTTTGCTGTTTTTATATATTCTAAATTGTTTTCCTAAAGTCTTATACCAAGTGTCTAAATTACTAAAAACACTGAGCAAGTCAGTACAGCACAATCCACGCTAGCTACAAATGGCATTGTTTAGTGGTCATCAGGCATAGGGTGCAAATTCTTAGAGAACCTTTCTAAACATCATATTGATTTCTATTCTCTGCTCTCTTCTTCGGGCTTCTCAGAGCAGAATCATCTCACTTGTCCTTGAAGGGATGAAGAGAGTTTAAGATGGAAAGTTCAGCTCATGTGCTTTTATAATAAGATGTATGCGAGGTTCACTCATGCAACCCACTGTGCCATTGGGAAATGCAGGAATGGGCATGCAGGACTTTCATAGCTCAGATATGCTCAGGAGCAAGTCATGCAGCACAATTGACTAGTAGGAAACAAAAGGGAGAGGGGATGGTATCAGTAGAATGAGAGACGGGGAAAATACCGACTCCAAGGGATGACTCTTCTAGGGAGCTAAGCTATTCAATAAAGCATGCATTGAGCCCAGATACAGTTTGGGACACTGTTGGTGAAGACCTTGGCCACTGGGTAGCATTGCTCTGTCAAACCACATACAAGGCCTGTGGGTAAAGGGAGAATCTAGCAAGGGATAGATAGATGTCGAGCTCTAGACAAACCAGGCACAGTTTAGAGTAAACCTCTAGTAACAAGAAGGAATTAAAATTTCTGGCATGGAAAAGTTTACATTCTAGTGAAATAGATAGACATAAAGCAAACATAAATAAATATAAGTAAACCAAAGAG
Organism: Homo sapiens; assembly: GCF_000001405.40. Lineage (NCBI taxonomy): Eukaryota > Metazoa > Chordata > Mammalia > Primates > Hominidae > Homo > Homo sapiens. The sequence goes on from NC_000015.10 coordinate 93,953,224, forward strand.
TAGTCTAAATGTTATGAAGAAAAGACATAGGTAGTTCCGTAGAACTTTCTGTAATAATGGAAATGTTCTATATCTGTGCTTTCCAATCTGGTAGCTAATAGCTGCAAGAGGCTGTTGAGCACTTAAAATGTAGCTTAGTGTGACAGAATAATTTTTTATGTTATTTAATTTTAGTAAATTTAAATTCAATAGCCACAGTTGGCTAGTGGTTACTGTATTGAACAGTGTAGCTCTATAGCATCATAAATTTCTCTATTGCAGGATTTAATGCACATTTATAGTTCCGTATTTATCTCTGTGATTCTTTGTTTAAGGCAAGCATCATTTACATTTTGTCTGTTGTTGATTCTCTAATGCATAGCATAGCACCTTGCACATAAATAGTTGTTCTATTGGCAGATCACCTGAGGCCAACATGGTGAAACCCCGTCTCTACTAAAAATACAAAAATTAGCCAGGCGTGGTGGCAGGTGCCTGTAATCCCAGCTACTCGGGGGGTTGAGGCAGGAGAATCGCTTAAACCCAGGAGGCAGAGGTTGCAGTGAGCCGAGAATGTGCCATCGGGCTCCAGCCTGGGGGACAAGAGCAAGAGTTCATCTCAAAAAAAAAAAAAAGTTAAGTGAATGATTAAAAGTGAAAAACTAGAAGACATAAGAAATATGCCAGTGCCTCAATATATAGAAACAAGAATAGTTCTACATCTCTCAAGACAGTGGAATAAGTTTGTTACTGGTTTTCCTACTCTTTTAAACAGTGGCTCAAAAACAAAACAGGGCTGGACGGTTTTGATGACTTGGAGGGGAGGCGTGGAAAAATGAGATCCTGGTAGTGATTGAGATATTTGGAGCTACACCTGGCGTGTTGGTTTGAAGTGGGGCCAAAGAGCCGGGTTTCCTACATGTATCCTAGGAAGGCCAGAGCTTTGGAGACAAAGTGGTACCTGGCTCTGAACGTCTAGAAATTCCTTATTCTCTGAGCCTCTTTTTTTTTCAAAAATGTAAAATATACCTACCTCATTAGGTTTTTCTGTGAGCTGTAAGATATTCATATTGCTTACCATACATTAATAAGCACTGAATAGCTTTGAATGCTTAATAGCTCCTTGCTGCTATTACTTTTATTCACTTCTCACAGTGCTCACCCTGACATCCATATTTTCAAAAATTCTTATGGAATATGGGATTCTAAAGGAATATGTGTCACTGACACATAGAATCCTTGCTGAGCTAGATGTACCTCTTCACACAGTCATATTCACATAGAGAATCTAGAAAGTTGCTTTGTTATTACTGAACGGAATCACAACCTATGTAGCAGGCTGGAAATACCCTTGCTCATGCATCTATTTTTTTTCTCATATCTTCGATTTCTATCTGAGGAAGTGTTTTCAGTCTTTAATGTAATATCCTCAGTAGTAAGAGGTTTCAAAAACACAACCAGGGCAATTCCTTAAGAAGTTTAAATACTCTTCAATGAATATTCCAATATTTTAAAATAAGATATATTGCAGAAGACACAAAAATACTTCATGGTAATTTTCTTCGATAAGCAAATAGTGGAATCTTATCCAAATAAGCCAGGCTTTAGCTATAGATTCTTCACATTTCCAGTCCGGGTCAGTTCTGTAATTATATTTTTCACAGTGTATAAGATGATGTTCATGGATATTTCGATGAAGAGTGAGATATTCCTCATTACAATTATTCCCATGCGATGTTTATTTCATTCTTTATCAGGAGCTGTTTTGTCATCACCTTAAGCAAGAAAGTCATTGTTCACATTAGTGCCACGTTTTGACACATTAGTGCCACGTTTCTTTTAGCATTTCTCCTTCTTGAATGCCTGGACCTGTTTCTGAAGGCAAAGGCGGATGATTGTTTATCTGCCTGTGTATAAAAGGCAATTGCTTTCGGCACTTCATTTGTACTATTGTCAGATAGGATCATGTTACAGCCCTGCCTCCCTTGTTGGTCTGTATACTGGTAAACTGTGTGGCTGTTCCCTGCCTAACCAGCTTGCTGCTTTAAGGTGACCTGTCCTGAAATCCCAGACAAACACATTTCGTGATACAAGTTCTGCCCTCATTTCTATCTCAGAGCTATGTGTCTGGACCCTATGACTCTGCACCCTCTCATAGCTGAAGAGTGTTATCAAGAGTAAACACTCAGGATTGATAATGGTCTTTCAAAGGTCTAAAAACACACCCACAGTCCAATGACCTATTGAAAGGAGGATGAGTGGTTTCTTTTGATATCGGGCTGCTGGACAGACTTTAGTGAGTGAAAGATTATGCTGCTTATTTACCTGGAAAAAATCGACGTCATAAGGATGCCCCCAGGCCAGTGGGGAAATGTCCACTCTGTGTACATTGTATAGGGATTAAGACACAGCCTCCAAAGTCAAACCTACTTGTGACTGAATCCTGGCTGCACCACTTAATGTATGTGAAAGCATTGGCAAGTTGGTTAATCCCTGCCTGACTCAGTTTCACCATCTGTTAAATTGAAGTAAAAATAGTACTTAGCCCCTAGGGTTCTTAAAAGGATTCTATGAGTTATTACGTTGAAAGGGTTTGAATGAGTACTGACCCATAGTAAGTGTTCAATACATATTTCTGTTATTGGCTTAGCTTTCTATTTTCACCATTATGGTACTTAACAATGAACGATCACTTCTCATGCGTTTGTGAGTTGGTCTGGTGGATTCTCCACTGGTCTTGTTAGAGCTCTCTCATCCTACGGGGGGCTCAGCTCTGTAGGATGGCAGGACAGGCTGCTATGGCTGGGTCTGTTTCCCCAAGTGCTTTTTTCTTCTGGATTTCTTTAGGGCATGTTTTGTCAGTGTCCAACAGGTTAGAACAGAAGCTGCATACCTCTTAAATTCAAGGTTTGGGAGTCACACAACATTCTTTAATTTTCATTTTCTGGATTAAAGTATATCCCAAAGTCAGTTCAGATTCCTGCGAGGGGAAAACATTCCCTCCTATTTTTTTATGGCAGAAGTGGTAAGATTACACTGCAAAAGAGATGTGCATACAGGGAAGGGTAGAATTATCACAACCACCTTTATAGACAAACTACTAAAACATCTGATAGCCCCAAGTCACAATTATCTATCTATGCCCGTGACTATGTAGGCAGTGAACAACTAAAGACCAACCAATGGAGGGTGCAGTATCACCCTGTATAGTTCACACAGTCCAGCCTGCCTTTCTCTCATTTGTTCGTTATATCCTGGCCCTTGCTGTGGGTCTCTGCAGTTCTTCATGCAAAGTCAATAGCCTCAACAGCCAGAATCACAGCATCATGGTTTCTGAATGTGACCAATGACTAGGGTCACAGAGAAATGACTTGCCTCACCTAGTGTCAGATCTTATTATTAGCAGAGGTTAAGACCAGGTCTCCTCATTGCTCATGACAGCTTCTCTTCAATGTAACATAACTATCTGTTTTGCAAACTTTTATCTGGCCTCTGCAGAAGATTTTTGCTAGTTCGGAAGTAGTAAGTTCAGAAAGGAATGAAGATAAATAAAATTAGAAAGTGGGACTGTGCCCAATAGTTTACACATAGTAGATAGGTATAGTGGAGAGTTAATGAGTATTGGTTCAACTAAATGCACACCTAGATATTGAGATTCAAGAACCACTCCTACTGTTCTGCATTTTGCTTGTTGCTGCTGCAATGCCACCATTCAGATTTGCACTGCTTGGCCATTAAAGTGATAGGGAATTGTGTGTGGTTTTACAATGACACTGTGATTTAGCCATCTCAGTTTCAGTCAGGAGCAAGAGAACCATTTAAGATAATAATATTAGCATATACATAGAACTTTTGATCTTCAAATCTCTTTAAAGGCATTAGCAAATTAATTTTCCCAGAACTCTTAAGAAGCAGGTAATTATTTTTACAGTCGGAGAGAATAAATCTGACTATGTATTGACCTGCAGAGGCTACCCGATGAAGCAATGCCAGCTAGGGCTCAAGTCCACCCGCTTGTCTCCTCTTGCTCACCAACACATCCATCACAGGACTCTCAAGCATTCCCAGATCATTATGATGAGATTAAATCTCACCAACATTTATTGGAAATATTTATTATGGACTCAGCAACTCTTTAGAGTTCCAATTGGGTGGAGAGGAGGGAGGATAAAGAAGATATCATTTCTGATTTTAAACACCATTAACCACCCAAAGCTACCAGGAATACATGGAGAAATGGCTGGGTCAGGAAAAGGACAGAATGAATGTGTAACATCTTGCTGTGCTGGAAAGCAATGAAGTGCTCAGAGGCTGATGCAGACATGTCAAAAGGAGGATGAACTAACTTGAAGGGACTCCAGCTGGTCAACGTTAGGGCAATACGTCTATAAAATAGAATAGAGATAGATCAATTATAACATATTGAATGAAAAAGAATAAAGGTGTCCATAGTGATACGCAAAGAAAACGGAGTGGAGAGTGAGCTCACTTTCATGAAGGATGATAGCTAATGAAGCTAAAGAAGAAATGATAAAATAAGATAGCAAGCATTTGTTAGAAATGGAACACTCATATAGTATCAAAATATTGCCCCTTAGATTACTTATTAATTATCTATGGAAAAGATATTGTCTTAGTTTATTTGGCCTGCTAGAACAAAATACTGTAGATTGCATAGCTTATAAATAATAGCCACTTATTTCTCACAGTTCTAGAGGTGGGGGAAGTTCAAGATCAAGGCGCCAGCAGATTAAGTGTCTAGTAAGGTCTGCTTTCTGGTTTATGCACGTGTTCCCACTGTGTTTTCACATGGTGGAAGGTGCAAACAAGCTCCCTCAGTCTTCTTTTGTAAGGGCACTCATTGCAGTCATAAGGGCTCTGTCTTCATGATCTAATTACCCCTCAAGGTCCCACATTGGGGCTTAGAATTTCAACAGATGAATTTGTGGGAAGTCAAAAACATTCAGACCATAGAAGGCGTGTTTACAACGGAGATATCTAGCAGACGCCACCTGAACCAAGTGACCAACCAAAATAATGAAACAACCTGACATCATAAGCTTCTGACTAGTTGCAGCAGGAAAGAATGCAACATCATCTATGTTGCTTATTTTTACTGCCTCATGAAAGTATGACTTACGTACCATAAAATCCACTCAATTTAAGTGTATAATTCAATGAGTTTTAGTAAATTTATATGGAGTTAAACAATCATCATCACAATCCAGTTTTTTAGAACCTTCCCTTATCCCCCAAATATTATCTACAGCCTGTTTATGGTCAATCCCTGCTCCTATAAGCAGCCACAGGCAACCACTAATAGGTTTGTATCTCCATAAATTTGCATTTACTGAATATTTCATACAAATAGAACATACAATATATGTTTTTAAGCCTAAACTTCAATAGGTATAATAATTGAGGTTTGTACATATTGTAATATGCATTAATATATTATTCTATTTTATTGAAGAATAGTATTCATTGGATGTATACATCATATCTGTTTATCCATTCACCAGTTGATGGAAATTTGGATTGTTTCTAGTCTTTGAGTGTTGGAAATCATGTTGCTGTAAACATTTGTGTATAAGCTTTTGTATAAGCTATTCAAACTTTAAACATTTATTTTTGCATCAGTTTTGGTAATTTGTATCTTTGTAGGAACTTGTTTATTTCATCTGAGTTATCTAATTTGGTGTCATAAAGTTGTTCATAAAATTCTCTTATGAGAATTTTAATTCCTGTAAAGTTGATGATGATGTCTTCTTTTTCATTTCTGATTTTGGTTAATTTGTGTCTCTTTTTTTCTTTCTTAATTGGTCTAGCTAAAATCTTGTGAATTTTGTTGATCTTTTCAAAGAAATTTTATTTTGTTGATTTTCTCTATTATTTTTGTTTTCTATTTCATTTATTTCTAATATAATATTTATTAATATTTAATTTGTTTTTAAGTTAGTTTACTGTTTTCTAGTTTCTTAAGGTGGAAGTTTAGTTTATTGATTTGAAAACTCTTTTTTTTCAGATATAGGTGCTTAAAGGTAAACATTTCCCTTCAAGCACTGGTTACCTAAATTCCATAAATTTTAATATACTGGACTTTTACTTTGTGCCATTTCTTATATCTTTAAATTTCTTTTGTGATTTCTCCTTTAACCTATGCATTATTTAGAAGTTTGCTTGCTTTCCAAGTATTTGGCATTTTCCTTTGTTGTTAGTCTGGTTCTATAATGGATATTTAATTGTGATCAGATAAGACACTCTGTGTGATGACAGTCTTTTAAAATTTATTGAGATATCTTCTGACCTTTTTTCCTATCCTGAGGAATATTTCATGTGCACTTTAATAGGTGTTCTACAGTCATTTGGTAGAATATTTTGTATATGTTGGTTAGATAAAATTGATTGCTAGAATTGAGTTTTCCATACACCTACTGATTTTCTATCTAGCTCTTCTATTAATCTCTGAGATTAGCTGGTTTAAATATTCAACTGTTATTGCTAAGTTGTCTAATTCTAATTCTTTTCTCAAGTCTGTAGTTTTTTTTCTTTATGTATTTTGGAGCTCTGAGGTAGGTATGCATATATTTACAATTTTAAAATCATTTTAATATAATGAGCCTTTTATCATTATAAAGTAACCCTCTTTGCCTCTAGTAATATTTCCTGTTTTTTTAAATTTGATAATAATGTAGCCACTCTAGCACTTCTATGGTTACTGTTTACATGATTTATATTTTTAAATTATTTTCCTTCCAACCTGTATTTTAAAATCAAGCATATTTCTTTTTTAGACAGTGCATTGATGAATTTTTAAAACCTCATTCTGACATTCTGTGCTATTTAAGGGCAGAGTTTGGTACTTTCACATTTAATGTAATTATTGACATGGTTGGATTTATATCAGCTATTTTGCTACTTGTTTTCTATTTATCCCATGTCTTTCTTTTTCCTCTGTTTCTGATTTACTGCCAGCCTTTATGTTAAATAAATATTTTCAGTGTGCCATTTTCATACTTCTCTTCATTTTCTTAGTAGATACTATAAAGATTATAGTGTGCATCTGAAATTAGCACAGTATCTTTCAAAATAATACTAACAAATTTCTGATCAACTATTAAAACTTTGCTCTACTATATATACTTTTTCCTATACTTGCTCTTGTGTTATCATCACATGTATTATAGACAGACAGATAGATATAGATATATTACATATTTAACAATACAGTATTATAAACATACTTTATACAACCTTATGTCTTTTAAAGAAGTTAAGAAAAAAGAGAAAATACTTTACATTAAGTCTTATATATTTACCTACATATTTACAAAATTCCTTTAGTAATTTAAAAACAAATTTGATAATGCAAGTGTCCAAATGATGAATTATCTTAGCTTTTGTCTGGAGAGGTTTGTATTTCACCTTCATTAAGAAACAAAAACAAAAACAAAAACTTTTTTTTTTGGTTTAGAATCCCTGATTGACAAAGTTAGCTATTATATCTATTCTTATTCCCCTGTATTTTCTCTCGTTGCTTTTGAGATTTTTCTCTGTCTTTGGCTTTTAAGAATTTAACTGTGTTGTATCTAGGTGTGAATATTTTTGTGTTTTTTTTGGGAGGATTATCGGTGCTCCTTGCAGATTAATGATTTTCATCAAATTTGGACAGTTTTCAGCCATCACTTCTTGAAATATTTTTCTTCTCCTTTTTTTATCCTTTGCTGTTAGAAATAACATTACACCTAAATTGTTATACTCAAAGCTATTCCACAGGTATTTAGGACTCCCTTTATTTTTCTTCATTTTTTTTTCTCTGTGTTCTTTAAACGTGGTATTTTCTATTGATCTTTTTTATAGTTTGGTGACTTCTGTTGTATAAAATTTCTTATAGAGCCTCTCTGCTTAGTTTTTTTTATTACGGTTATAATTTTTATCTAAATTCTGGTAAAATATGGAAACTCGTATCCACTCCATCTTTCTCCTTCACTTTTATTTGTGTTATTGTTTTCACATGCAGTATTACATGTGTATATTCATGTTATAAACCCAACAAGGCACTGCCATAATTATTGCTTTAGATAACCTTACATTGTATCCTTATGTTGCTATATACAACCTGTATTTCCACTTGGTTCGTTTTTATAACTTCTGTTTCTTTATTGAGACAGCCGAGCCATTGAATAATTATTAACATACTTTCCTTTAATTCTTTATGTTCGGTTTCCTTTAATTCATTGAACACATTGAACCTGTCTGTTTTAAAGTCACTGTCTGACAAATCTAATACCGGTGACACTGAGAGACAACTTTTAGTGACAGGTTTTGTTCCTCTAAATATGATCACACTTTTTTGTCTCTTTGCACACCTTATAATTTTTATTTGAAGTCGAGACATTCTAGATAATATGTTGTGTCAGTTCTGGATTCTGAGTCCTTTTCTCTCTGAGGGTTGTTGTTTTCTTTTGTAACATGCATGAATTAAATCTGTGAATTCTGTCTCCCCTACCTGGTGTGGCCGCGAATGTCCCTGCTCTGCTTATTTTTAGAAATTATTCACTTATTTGTTCCTTTATTTATTATTTTTCAGCCTGAATCTTAGTGCTCTGGTAGTGTTCAGTCAACAATTGGCCAGAGATTATGCTCAAACACCTCCAGCTAAGAAGGCTCACTCTCTGTTGATGATATCTGTATGAAAGTGCAGAAATTCAGAGGAGGAGGAAATTATGGTTTATTCTAGTAGAGAAGAAAGATATTATGGAAGGAGGAGGGCTTGATATTTGTCTCAAATTATTATAGAATTTATATATATAGGCAGGGTGCAGTGGCTCACGCCTGTAATCCCAGCACTTTGGGATGCCAAGACAGGTGGATCGCCTGAGGTCAGGTCAGGAGTTCGAGACCAGCCTGGCCAACATGGTGAAACCTCTCCTCTAGTAGAAAAAAAAAAAAATAGCTGGGCATGGTGGTGGGCGCCTGTAATCCCAGCTACTTGGGAGGCTGAGGCAGGAGAATCGCTTGAGCCTGGGAGGCAGGGGTTGCATGAGCTGAAATTGCACCATTGCACTCCAGCCTAGACAACAAGAGTGAAAGAGTTCTGGATCAAAAATGAGATCAGTAATCATTTAGAGATGGTGGCACTGATAAGATTTAATACTGACAAGGGAAACGTTCATTAGTTCAAATTTTCATTAGCGTAAAGTTCGTTAGTCTGCAAATTGGACTGAAAAATGAGAAGAAGGGTTCATATGGCTCCCTCTTTTCCTTTCCTGCATTTTATCAGAAGAGTAGTGATCTCATGAGCCTATGAAGAATCCAGTGTTCTATTCAGAAATGGAGGAAAAAATAGCTTTAGGGTAAAAAGATATTTGTACATAGCAAAGAGAAATTTTAAAACTCACAACAGAAAGTTAATACCTGAAAATTCAGTATCTTGACTATCATTAAAATTTGGATTTTTCAAAGTAAATTTAGTTCTTACCATGTTCCGTATGAATATAATCAATTAACTCAGCTTCCAGTGTGACCTGTCACTTCCTCATTATGTCCTGTTCTTATAGATTGGAACCTCACTCAGTCATGGACTCATATTTCTGTTGTCATGTTCATGAAAACTTTCCCATGTCAAGTTAGAAAACCTCTCTCCAGGCCAAGCCGACAAAGACCACAAAAATCTTTCTTCTGCCAGAAGTTACTCTCTCAGTCTCCCACACATAGGTTTATGGATTGACTATAATGGGAAGCAAAAATAGTCTTATATTAGGTAACCATAACAATATATCCAAGATAGTTCTTAAAAGAATTTTACTTGTATATATTTTATATATATATTAAAAGAATTTTACTTGTATATATTTTATATATATATTAAATTTTGCATATGCTGTGTGTTTTATGCAAATATTCTAGTATATGCTTTCTACTCACCAAAGTAATTTATGCAATAAAAATAATGGCTCATTCATTGACATTAATAGCTCATACCTACCACATATAACTTTTCTTTATCTATTTAATAAATACAATTCAGATACGGTTTAAGGCTGTGGCATCTACATAGGTGACTACTGTGAAAAGTGTGGTTTCTGAAGTAAAGACGGTAGGAGAGGTTATTAACAATAGGTATAATTTTATGCATTTTTCTTTCTGTGTGTGTGTCTATGGCCAATTCCTGATTTCTGCAGTAGAAATGAACAGAATTTAGAGATGGATTCATGACAGATCCTGGTTAGAACATGAATACACAATGTCTACCACTCAGAGGATTACATTTACAAGGTGGTCTCAGTTTCATTTTTGGTTCATTAGACATGTGAGCTTTACCTACAACACCAGGAGCCTCCACACGCAACAGCACATTTTACGATTTGTGTAAGCCAGCCCTCCCTGCCTGAAGTGTTGCTCCCTGCTTCTTTAGCTCCCCAGGTCTGTTACCTCAGATCTGCATTTTAGGTTTAAATATCAATACTTTATCAGGCCTGTCTCTTTGATGGTGTGATCTGTTCAAATTTCCCTTCTGACTTGCTGACCTTTTCTTCTACCTTCTGCTTTGTAAGGACCTTTGAAGAATTGACCACGGTTATAGGTAAGAGTTGGCCCCAGCCTTAACCCTATGGAACATCTGTCAGACTGGCCACCACTCTTCCCAGTTCTTTCAATCAAGACAGGGACATTCATAAAACTATAGAGAATCAAGATGATTGAAATATAACAGTTGCTCTTTGGAGGATTTGTCTAGAATAGGTATTTTAATGCGCGAATGCACCAGCCCATGGCTCTTGAGATGATGATCCTTTAAAATAATTTATATTCTAAATTCCTTTTCGTCCATAGTTGATGAAAATAGCATTTATTATTCAAATTATTGAGATTTTCCACTGGAACTAGCCAGTTTCACTTAGACTTGTAAATTTAATAGAATATATCTGTCACATCTAGTCAATCCTGCATATTTGCCTTCCAGTAGAAACAATAACCAATTTGGCTGCCTTAGCTTTGCAAATCTAAAACCAACTGGTCACAGAATTTAAGATTCAGTAAGGCAAACCCAGTTAAGTTGCAAAGATTTTTAAAAAGTCAATCGTAGTTCTTGAGGCACTATAAAACTCTTTTTATGTTCTTAATTTCTAAATTAATCTTTCTAATTATATTTGGGGAACTGTGTCTTTAAGCCAGTAAAAGTCACTTTAATTCTAGTATAACCTACTTTTCTGAAGTGAGCGGTGCCCCACATAAGCATCTGAGGATAGAAGTGAGACCTAGGTATGAGGAATGTTCTCTCAACTATGTCCAGAGCAAGAGCTGTTAATTCCTGTCATTAGCTGCTAGCTCTTAAGTTTGATATTCACTGCCTTGGAGAGATCTGGGAGAAGAAACCTGAGCAGCCCTTTCACTATGATAAATATTTTCCTTTTCAAATTATTCGAGAGAAACAGGGTGTTTTAAAAACTAATAAATTGCCTGGCCAAGAACAAGGTGAAATGGGAGAAGAACAATAGTGAATTCCTATGGAATGTACACTCTGAGTCTAAAAATATTTTAGATACCTATAAATATTTTTAGAGGACTCACGTAATCATACAGCACCCTGTGATATAAGTATGAATATTATCCCTGTTTTACAGCTTAGGAATGAATTCATGGGGAGGTAAAAATAATAACAACATTTATGGAGCATTTACTGCATAGCAGGTACCTTGATAGTTACAGAATAGGGATTATCTGTAGGCCTCAGAGGAAACATAGTAGTATTACTTTAGTGTTTATTTTATAGACCAGAAAACCTAGATATAGTAAGGTTAACTGTCCAAAGATCAGCCAGCAGTAGAGGCTGAAGCCTCTTGTGAACTAGCAGGTCACAGGGCAGATGTCATGCATGTAACCATTATGCTGTACCCCATGGAAGACAGAGAATAGGACAGAATATTAATGAGAGTCTAAAGACAGGTCAAATTTAAAGTGAAAAAAATAAGCTGTATCTAGTGTATCATTTATGGGACACACAGAAAAGTAGTTTCTGGTTAAAATATACATGTTCATATATATAATTATGCATGCACATATTTTTCCTTATCAGCCTATTATTAGAAGTTTATTTCAATGCTTCTTTCCTCTCTATTTATGGAGGCCACATTTATATTAAATCTCAAGTAGTAAACACTTGGAATGTGATATTTGCCAACTGAGAATAAAGCTGGCAAAACCTGGGAAAGGGAAGAATGGATGTGTCTGCGTCTTCTGTATCCCCACCAAACATAAGCGTTTCTAGTCTGAAATACAAGCCTGCTATCCTATCTTTAGCCTGCTTGCTAGATGATCAAATCCCATCTAATTATTTAGCCTATCTTTTTCTCACCAAACCGTGTGGATTCAATTTTTCTCATATGAGTTTTCTGAAAGCAAAAGCAGAAATCCCAAAGGACTATTCTTGAAACAAAAGGAGATTTATTACTTTTCACTGAAAGGGGATTTGTTATAGTAGGAATTGTGTGCGTGTCAGCTGAAAAGACCACAGTTCCGTCTGTGGCCTGAAGATTATGTGGCCTCTACAAGCAACTCTCTCTCCTTTCATGGTTCTTCAGTTGTCATAGGTCTGGCATCTGACCTCCAGGGTCCCCGCAGGAAAGGACACCCAGAGGCCAGAGCTCTGATGATGAGGTGACAGATACACCTATAGGCCCTGGCCCTGGCAACCCCAGCCAGTTCTCTCATAGTCCTACAGCTCTGCAACAGTCTTAACCTTGTTGCCATTTCTAAGTCCCAGGATGCGGCAGTTTGCTCCTAGTCCTGTCACAATCACCTTTTGAAATAACAGAAAGAAAATTCACGCATTCCTCAAGTATGATAGTTCAAAAATCTGTTTTTTATTATTGATAGTTTGGAAAAATCTTAGCTTTATGTTATTTTTTTTAAATTTCACTTTTAAAAAGACGACTTCTTTTTAGATCAGTTTTAAGGTCCCAGTAAAATTGAGAGGAAAGTACAGAGATATCCCATATAGTACCTGCCTCCACACATACAGAGCCTCCCCCATGATCAACGATCTCCACTAGAGTGGCAGATTTGTTATAGCTGATGAACCTACATCGATACATATTATCACCTAAAGTCTGTGGTTTGCATTAAGGTTAACTCTTGGTATTGTACATTCTTTGGGTTTGGACAAATGTATAATAATATACATTAACCATTATAGTATCATACAGAATAATTTCACTGCCCTTAAAAATTCTTGGTGCCTCCCCATTCATCTCTAACTTCCCCCTGACCTTTGGCAACCACTGATCTTTCTACAGTCTCCATAGCTTTTCCTTTATCAGAAGATCATGTAGCTGGAATCATATAGTATGTAGCCCTTTCAGATGGGCTTCTTTTACTTGTAATATGGATTTCAGTGTCTTCCATGTCTTCTCATGGCTCAATAGCTTATTTGTTTTTTAGTACTGAATAATATTCCACTGCCTGGGTGTATCACAGTTTATTTATCCATTCACCTATTGAAGAATATATTGGTTGCTTCCAAGAGTTATGGCGATTATGAGTCAAGTTACTATAAACATGCAGATTTTAGTAGGGACATAAGTTTTCCACTCCTTTGGGTAAAAACCAAAGCCCTATTATTGGATTTTCAAGTAAGTTTTTAGTAGTATTGTCAAATTTTAGAAAAGCTATACAGGACCTTTGCATATATACAATTATTTCATTTAAAACGGTCAGTGCAACTGCATGTGGAAAATAGTGGGAATCCTTTTCAGCGAAAATGTAACGTTGAACATTCTTATCCTGATGAAATCTATAGCCCAGGCTTCAGAAGTTTCCTTGTCCAAGGTGTTGACCTTGTGTGTATTGTTTTAGCTTTTTCCTACTTCAATTTTTATATCCTTGCAATGATCATAGCAATCCTCATCCTTTCTTTCAACCCAGGAATATTGTTGGAAAAACAAATGAGACCGTGTATGTGTGCACATGCATGTCGTGTGTGGTGTGTGTGTGTGTGTCCTCCTCATTCCACTTTTCCATTTCTTCCTTTTCCTCCTTCTCTTTCATCTCCTGTTAATTGTCACCTGGGGTCAGCTAGACTACTAAGATCATTGCATAATATGTGGCAGCCACAAGAAAATGGCATGAGTGTATGAGTGTGTGTGTGTGTGTGTGTGTGTGAGAGAGAGAGAGAGAGAAAGAGAGAGAAAGATACACACACACAAAGAGACAGAGAAAGGGGCTGAAATATTCCTGTGTGTCACATATTTTTGTTGGTTTTTGGGTCTCGCTCTGTTGACTAGGCTGGAATGTAGTGGCATGATCACAGCTCACTGCAGGCTTGACCTCACAGGCTCAAGTGACCCTCCCACCTCAGCCTCTGGAGTAGTGGGACTATAGGCATGTGCCACCATGCCCGGCTAATTTTTGTATTTTTTGTAGAGATCAGATTTTGCCATGATGCCCAGGCTGGTCTTGAACTCCCGGCCTCAAACCATCCACCCACCTCAGCCTCCCAAAGTGCTGGGATTACAGGCATGAGCCACTGCACCTGGCCTTTTTGTTGTTTTTTGAATACACTCTCGTTATGATGAGGTTCCTTCTGAGGTTTTTGAACTCCTCTGCCCCATCTCATTGAGAGATCCTACTTGTCAGACACATTTTAAGCTTTTCCATTAGATAATGGCCATAACTTAATTCTATTGCTGGGTACTGGTCAGGGAGACACTTTTGTTCTCCTAAGGATGTTGTAAGCTAAACTCTACTACATTTTCATAAGCAATTTTATCTTGACATTTATATTTTGGCTTATCTCCTCTCTCAGATGTGAAAGGTATTTTAATCATGAAACCGAAAACTTAGTCAAGAAAATGTTTTATTTTACACTGGGATTCTTTATTTTTAAGCACCGTGTTCTGCTATGAATTCATTTTGACATCCATGCCAGGCACCTTGCAGACAGGGAAATGTTTTTTATTTACTTTAGCATCTGTTTTAGTATTTCTTTAGTATTTGTTTCAATTTTTAAAGAAATACTATGTTTTGCTGACCCGTTGCAAGGCAAAATTACCCACTACAAGGCAGTTCTGGGTAATTCTTTTTTAAAAAATAAAAAGATGGAAAATAGTAAATAATTTATCAATTAATTTACTTATTGATTCAAAAAGGTTTCACTGGCCATCTGTTATGGGAAAATCACCATGACAGGCACCAGAGAGAAAGCACGAAGTAACACATGGGAATCCTTGCCTCCAAGACACGTAGAGTGAAAAAATGCAAAAGAAAAATCACATGAAGAGTGCAATTAAGAATTAAATATAGGTTGCTCTTATAGGAAGAAAAACTAAATAAAATGGAGGCATCAGGGAAGACCTCTCAAAGGAGGTAGCAGTGAAACTAAGTTAGGAAGAATCTGTAGGACTTGTTTAGATAGGGTCATTCCTGAGGCTAAAAGCAATGACATCTTGGTGATGTAAAGTGGCTCATAGAAAAGTTCTTGGGTCAGCTCCAGGTACATAGTAGGGATCGAATAAATGTTGGTTTCCTTTTCACCTGTTAGTCATCCAAATAGGATCTTCGCTGAATTATTTGAATTTTCTAAACCATCTGGTGTTTTGTGGAAATAAATGTCCCAGCTAAATCCACTGGAACGGCTGCGATGGGCTTTTGGTTCATCTGCAGTAGCAATCTTCATAAGTGGAAATAGAAAAGTAATCTCAACTGACTGTTAACCGACAAAGGCCCTAATGATGTCTTTGCAGAAATAGTTTGTGATTTGGGTACTGAGATTGTGCAATCAGAGTAGCAGAGAAAATACAACAAGGAGTGGCTAAAGGTTTCATAGAAAATATGACGAAGGTGAAGTAGAAAACAATAAGCATTCGGGTAAAGAAATGTAAACATGTGAGGCCCATATCCAATCTAGCAAAACTCTGGCGATCTTGCTGCATCAGGAGACTGACAAGTAGACCTCTTTTCTTACTTTGATAGCTTTTTTAAATTGGTAATATATTTACAGGACTCAAGCATCAAACAGTAAAAAGTATGCAATTAGTGGCACATGGTGGTGTGTGCCCATAGTCCCAGCTACCTGGGAGGCTGAGGCAGGAGAACCTCTTGATCCCAGGAGTTCTAGGTTTCATTGGGCTGTGATGTGGGCTGCAGTGGCCACTGCACTCCAGCCTGGGTGACAAAGCAAGACCCTGTCTCTTAAAAAATATATATGCATATGTAGTAATAAATCTTGTTTATACACCTTTCACTCTAATCCTAGGGTCCTATTCTAATCTCTGCTATCTTTTAGAGTATCTTTATACAATTTTAATCAATTGCATGTATAGATGCACATATTTTTATTTTCCATGTACCTGTTTATTCATTTAACAAATATTTATTGAGTGTATACTTTCCAGGTAATGTTCAATGCAGCCAAGGGAGCTAAGGTAATGAACAAAACAGAGAAGTTCCTACCCTCCCTGATGTTCATTCTAGCAAATGGAGACAGATGATAGAAAGTAAGTAAACTATAGGGTGTTAGGTCTTACAACCACTAAAGAAAAAAATGAAGCATAATAATGAGGAAAGAGCATGCTGGAATGGGAAAGTATTTCACTTCAAAATAAGGGAGTGGTACTTGAGCAAAGACCTGGTGGAGGGGAGGGAGCAAGCCCCATAGAATCTGGGAGGAGATATTCCAGAAATAGAGTATTCCTGATCCCAAAGGCAAGCCCCAGAGATCAGGGTAAGCCTGACACCTTCCAGGAATAGGAAGAAAGCCCGGGTGGCCAGGGTGGAGTGAGCTAGGGACAGAGACGAGATTAGGGAGGTAGGGAGAGGATAGCATTGGGAAATAATGGAAAGAATTTTGAGCAGAAGTATTTTATCAATCACTCTTGAATTTAAGATGAAGATGAACTGTAGAAAGGGCAGAATCCATATGACCTGCTACAGATTAGTGAAATGATTCCAGTTAAGTGATGCTGATGACCTGAATCAGGGTGGTTGCTATGGATGGGATGGGATATGGCTGATTTGTGGAGAAATGTTTTGTAGGTTGAGCAAACAGTATTTGCATGAGAGAAGTGCAAGAAGGAGGGGTGTCCCAGCTAGGAGACTGGAGATGGCATCCATGACCTAGGAAATATTTCGGGAGGAGCAGGACAGGGGTTCAAGTGATAGAGTTCCATCCCTGGACACGCTAAACTTGGAGTGCCTGTTAGACAACTTAGTAAATATGTCCAGTAGAGAGTTCAAATTAGGGAGAGGACCTCTTTAAGGATTACAAGCTTGGAGGTAATAAGAATATAGACAAAATTTGAAGCCGTAACGTGGATGAGCTCACCCAGGGAATTACTGTAGATAGAAGAAAATGAGGCCAAAAATAGCATCTCAGGATATTCTACAGATCAAAGTTTAACAAGACAAATAGAGAAAGAGAAGGTGACTGAAAGGAAGCCAGTGTGAGACAGAAGAAAATCCAGGAGAGAGTGGTGGGTGGAAGAAAGACCTTCAAGATACAGAGAATGATGGGCTCTGTCAAAGGTGCTGATTGCTAGGTACGATGAGGACTAGGATTGAACCAACTCATATAGCTGTGACCTTGACAAGAGCATCTTCAGTAGAGTATTGAGGGAAAGTGCTGATTGGAATGAGTTCAAGAGAAAATGAGCTGAGGAAATTAGAAACAGCAAGTAGAGACAAATTTTTACGTTTTGTTGTAGAGAGGGAGCAGAAGAATGGCACAGTTGTTGAAGGGAGAAGTGGGGCCAAGTGTTTTTGTGTTCTGATTTTTTTTAATAGAGGAAATAAGGGTAAGTGTCTTAGCTAATAGTAGAGAGGAGAAATGTGAAAGAAGTATCCTTATTTCTGTGATAATTTGGCTTTAGCTAGGAGCATCAAAATTTCCATCCATGGTAACAGGAAGAAAAGCTGAGTCAGGGCTGAGAGCACAAATGGGCAAGTGTGGTAGACAGAGAAGTAGAGAAGTTTTCCTCATGGTTTTTCTCCACCCTCAGGGAAATAGGAGGTAGAGTCATTAGCTGAGAGTGAAAAGTAGGGAGAGGTGTTGGGGTTTGAAAAAAGGGAAGAAGGTCTGGTATATTTACGACAGAATGGGAGAGAAATGGATAGGGTAATGACTGAGCCCCAGGCATCACTACTGGTCTGCTCGAGGATGATAATCAAGGATTGGAAATGTCACCAGTAAAGCACTTTTCATTTGTGTTTTTCTTTAGCCAGTGTCAACTGCAGAGTGCAGTAAGTATAAAAGGACCAATAGTTAAAGCAATTTTTACAAATGGTAGTACACTGCAGACATGAATATAATGACATTCCTGGTAAGAATGGTATAATGCAGTTGTTGTCACTTGGTGGGTATATATGCCAGGAGTCTATAGGGGTTTCATAGGGGTTCAGGGTGAGGTATTGAGTTTCTAAATATTTTCATTTTCCCTAATCCTTTAAACATGTCTATTAGGTATATTTTAACATCCATACCATACTTTAATCACACCTGTTAATAATTTTTAAATCAATATATTTACAGATTTGAGTTTGCTTACTTATAATTTCGCTGTTAGTTTGATTGATCCAAGACATTTAAAGGATTAAGGTTTAAATAGAAAGTAAAGGTTTTTGGAGACAGACCAGGGATCAAATGTCAGCTCTAACACTTACTTGTAGTATCCTTAAGCAAGCCATTGAGTGTCTCTTAGTCACCATTAGATCATATATTAAAATAAAATAAGAACACCTATTTATATGCTTCAGATAAAGTTTAAATTCATTTATGTATATAAATACTAGGCACAGTTATAGGTATTTATAAAGATTCCTTCCAGTCCCTCTACCTTAAAAATAAATGACAATATGGAAATAAGCTATTTTTTATTGCTACAATTAATATTTATTTTACAAATTTTTCAAAATGAAATAATCAAAATAAAACAATTAAAAAAATCTTCATTTATGTTTCTCAGAATTCAATATAGTAAATATTTTGGTGTGTTTATCCACATACAAGTAAATATAAATAAATAAACATAAATGTGTGTGTGTCCACATGCATTGTGCACACACGCACACACTCGCACTACATCTGCTTTATTCCATTTAAAATACATCGTGAACCTGTGACTTTTTCTTTTGCTTTCATATCATTAAAATTTTTCCACAACATTACTTCTGATGGATGTTTCAAGATCATCAGACAGATGTATGATAATGTGCACATTAATCCTGTAGGGCTGTTCTTTATTAGTTTCAATTTTAATCTAAACTGTGTTAAACAATCCCACTGCTAAATCCTTAGGTTCGTCTATGCTTTTTTTCCCTAGGACACATTGCATTAAGTGAAAATTGCCAAGGAAAAAGCTATGTAAATCTTTAAGGGTTGTCGTAAGTGTTGTTAGTTGCCCTCCAGAAATGTATCTAGACTGTCAGGTCACTCTCTTACATTGGATAGCAATGTCATCCATAGCAACTGGGTATCCTCTCAGTGCCTGTGTGCCCTGCATATTTTAAGGCCTGAACAACAAATTAATCTTTACTATTGAATAAGTAGAGAATCTCATTGTTTTTCTTCAAATATGGGAGTTTTATTTTAGTTTTGTATTTTTACCTTAACCAATGGTTGTGAAAGATTCTTTCTATGTAAGGAATTTCAGCCTTCTGGAAAGAATGTCCCCAGGAATACTACATGTGTTTTCATAGGTTGTTAGTGACCTAACTGCTTTAGAGATAGTATAAGATCCTAGACTTAACAGGAGAAACACAAAACTAAAAGAAATAATGATATAGAACTCCTATTACTAATACCACTACTTAGAATACAACTGTCATTTCTCTGGTCTAACAGTGAAGAAAATTTTTAAGTCAAAAGTTTTTTTTTTTTCTTACAATTTATTTCTCTAAAAAATGTTTTACCCCAGTTATTTGCTCTTTTTTCCATATGCATTTATCATGTTCCATTTATAGGTATGTGATGGTTTTTAAATTTCTTTCTCCTATGAGACTTAAGAAAAAAATTTAATTCTATGAAATTCTATTTTAATGTGTCAGTTACTATATTGGGGAATTATTAAATCTTCATCTATCAATCTTTGGAAGAAAACTAGATTTCTGGGCGTATACTGGATTTTCCAGACAGATTTTTTGTGTTCTCATTGTAACCCTGTTTATTTTCCTCTGGTTGGAAAGGCCATGAGTGTCTCTCTTAATTTACAATGTTGAGTTCCTTTGCTCTCCCCTGGGTCTCATTTCTCCCAAACAATTCCTTCAGCTGCACATCATTGAGCAAGAGGGACACCATGGATAATGGAAAGATCTACGGCAAGGCTGGCTGTCTGCCCTGTCTAAGGAGGACGTACTGGACCATCCTGCTCTGCACATCCAGATGTGTCCATGAATACATCCATAAAACGATGGCCTGTGGAATCCTATAGGAAAATGATCCAGAGCCTGGGCGGTCAGAAGGAACAAACACTTGATTTACAAAATAAATCTTCTATGTTTATGTTTTAAAGACACACAGAGGAAAAACATTTTTAAATTCATGATTTCCCCCCCCAGATTTTAACTATTGTAATCTCTTTCTTTCCTGAGCCTTAGGCATCTTCATTATAAACCAAAAGATATAACTTGAGATTTTCCCAGGGTTTATATACTCGTTAGAGTTGGAAACATGAAAATGGCAATTTGGGATGTCTCTTTGGAGTCAAAAACCTTATAAAAATATAATGTACTTTCTCTCTCTCTTCATTTCCTCATTTTTCTGGTCAAAGCTAGAAGAGTAAGATGTCTTTGAAACTATTAAGATAATTTTTAAGACATGGTATAATTGTGAATTTTATATAGATATAAAATGAACAGGTATCAAAGACTTTATTAGCTTATTAATTAATAAGAGAACGGGTAAATGTTATAATTGGTATAAAAAGCAGAGGCATATGTAGGAAATTAGGAATCTGAAATGAATTTACAAATTGATGGTCTATCCATGAGGCAATAATTGGTTGCATTCCACCAGTCACAATTGATTTGCATTTCTATGAACAAGAGATGGATGAGCTAGACAGGATAGTCACTCACTTTTTGTTCTGAGCCCATTTCAAAGTCTCAGTTGTTTTCCTTACTAAAACATCTATCTCTAATATCCCATTATATGTATTAATATCCCATTATATATTATATTTTATAATATATAATGTATCCCATTATAATATATATTTTTTATAATATATAATATATATCCCATTATCCCATATATATTCCCATATATATTATATAATATAAAATATATCCTATTATAATATATATTATATATTTTATATATAAGTGATTTCCAAATGAGTTCTATATATATTATAAATTAATATCCCATTATATATACATTTGCATAAATATATGTAATGGGATATTAATTTTTAATATACATAGAACCCCTTTGGAAATCCCTTTCCACAATTACAAGCAATAGATATTTTGGCAGAGTTTTAGTTATGGGGTGATTAGATTTTCTAGCATGTTGAGATTTAGTGGGTCTTAATTTACCCAAAGTCATTTAACCAAAGTAAAATTGAGATTCAAACCCAGATAGATTCTGATTTTAAAAAGCCATGTTTCTGTCTCCTCCCCCTCAAAAAAATGGGTGAAAAAATGGTGGCTCAGGGTCAGATACAAGCTTTTCACTTGTAAGGGTAAAATAATTAAGTCATAAATGATTAGAGCTAAATAAACCTCTCTTAACCAATATCTTCCTGAGAAGCACAATAGTTGACAATAAAGCCGAGAAGCACTGGGAAGCTGAGATGCAGACCTGCACTCTCTCTGTTCGGGCTTCCCCTTGCCTTCTCAGTTATTTCCTTGGCGCCTCTAAGGATCCCCAGAAAACTGTTTCAAATCCTTGAGTTCATCCAGTCTTATCAAAGACTCATCTCTGCATTAGAACTGTTATTTTCTTATTCCAAACCCGGTGCTCATCTATGTTGTCTTTACTGAAAATAAGGGTTAGTCTTGAACTAGTATTTAAATTTAAAGTCCAATGTCTGAACCAGGCAGCCATCAGATCTGATTTAGGGAACACCTGCCCTCTTGTGGTTCTCTGAGCTCATCTGTCTGGAGTTAAGGAAACCTTTTCCAGCTTTCGTTGTGGAGACTCTTCCCGGAGGAGACCATCTTGAAAGAGCTTTATGGAAGAAAGCCAGCCTAAAGTCCCAGTCCAATTTGCCTAGAGATGAAGGCAAGAGGTGGTAAATAGGGTGAGTAAGAGGGTCTTTAATCCAGGAATAAAGATGTAATTGTCAAGATAGAACATCTCTTTGCCTCCTTTATCAATCTGCTGCTGAGTCCTTGGAGTTTGCCACTAATCAGGTATAGCTTTGAAAATGTAAAAGAGTTTTTCAGATACTCCCAAACACATTAGCAGTTGCAAGAGTATCAGTTGGAATGGACTAAGGTATGCTGAAAAATCATACCACCCCCAAATCTCAGTGAATTATACAACAAAATTTAATTCTGAATTATTCTAGGTATTTATTTTAGTCAGGGTTCTCCAGAGAAACAGAGAAAAATAGGATAGATAGATGATAGATTAGATAAATATGTACATACATATATAGATACATAGATTCATAGATGCATACATACATAGAAAGATATAAGAGATTTATTATGAGAATAGGCTCACGTGGTTATGGAAGCTGAGAAGTCTTAAAATATGCCATCTGCAAGCTAGAGAGTCAGTGAAATAGTTTGGATACTTGTCCCCACTCAAATCTCATGTTGAATTGTAATCCCCGATGTTGGAGGTGGGGCTTGGTGGGAGGTGTTCGGGTCATGGGGGTAGATTTCTCATGAATGATTTAGCACCATCCTCTTGGTGCTGCCTTCATGATAGTGAGTGAGTTCTAATGAGATCTGGTTATTTAAGAGTATGTGGCACATTCCTCTCTCTCTTGCTTGCTCCTGCTTCACCTTGTGAAGTGCTTGCACCCACTTCACTTTCTGCCATGATTGTAAGCTTCCTGAGGCCTCCCCAGAAGCTGATGCTGAAGCTATGCTTCCTGTACAGCCTATAGAGCCATAAGCCAATTAAACCTCTTTTCTTTGTAAACTACTGAGCCTCAGGTATTTCTTTATGGCAATGCAAGGGTGGCCTAATACAGCCAGAAAAGCTAGTAGTATAATTAAGTCCTATTCCAAGGGTCCAAAAACCAGGGAAATCAATGGTATAATTCTCATTCTGTGGCCAAAGGTCTGAGAACAGGGACAGTAGGGAGAATGGTTTGAGTCCTGATGTTCAAAGAAGCTCTGATGTCCAAGTACAGGAGAAGATAGAAGACCCAAGGGGAGAGCGCAAATTCACCCTTTCTTTATCTTTTTGTTCTATTCTGGCCATGAATGGATTGGATGGTGCTCACATTGGGGAAGGCAATCTTCTTTACTCATCCTATTGATTCAAATGCCAGTCTCTCCTGGAAACACACTCACAGATACACCCAGTAATAATGTTTTACCAGCTATGTGGGCATCCCTTAGCCCAGTCAAGCTGACACATAAAATTAACTATCATGACGTCCGATGAAGATTGTCAGAGGAGCTTGGCTCACTCACCATGGTCCCTCTATCATGTGCACTTCATTACAACATGCACTTTCACTATTCCCACAGCAGTAGGAAGAAAATGTGGGTCTTAAAAGTTTAGTTCATACGTGATGCACATCACTTTAGTCCTTTTATTAGCCAAGTCAAATCACATGGCTGTACGTAGCTTCAAAGAAGCAAACAAGCTTTGTCCCACCGTGTTCCCAGGAGAACGAGAACATCTACCAACAGCATCAAGATCACCATACCAGGATGAGACTCAGTACAGTAGAACACTGAATTTTCAGGGTATAAAAGTATATACTTTTCTAAGTGTATTAAGCCTTGTGGCTCATCATTCTTCTTTATGCATACATTACTCTTTGTCCCTAATGTTCTTCCCTCTCTCAATATCTCTCATTGTCCTACAGACTCCCTCCTTTATGGCTCCAGTACCATCGAATCCCCTTAGTTAGTCCTGGCCACCTCTTATTGGAATTACTTTACAAGACACTTTACAGTGTCTTTATCTGTTGGCACTGCCTGACTAGGAGATCATTGCCCAGGCTAGGGGCTGCCTGCTGCTCTCTCCCACCCACAAATTAGGACCTATTGGCACTAAAAGCTTTGAGCCTGGCTTTGCATTGCCCTTGGAACATTCACATTTGAATTATTTTTTCAACCCAAGAGAGAAGTCACCCCAGACCCTCAAATGCCCCAACTTCTTTTATTTTACCACTGTCTAGTGTTTAGAACTCTGAATGCCTTATAGCCACATATTTAGCTATGATACTATAGAGCTTTATCCTTCTAACTCCCAGGGCTGGTAAATTATATAGCCTTTTACATAAAAAGAAAATACAGTTGACTAACCTGTTGGATTGGTGATAAACTCTGGAGGGGTGGGGAGAAAAGAGTGTCTACTTGACTGATAACCTCAACACATTTTCCTGTTTTCCTTCAACCTACTGCTTCCTCCTGCCCTCTTTCACAGTATGTGGGTCACACACAAAAAACATTATTGCACGGATGGGAGAGTCATGGAGAGGAGACAGGATGACTCCCCCACCAAAGGAGTACTTCATTTGGATTGATTGTTTTCATTAAATTTTCAAAAATCCCTTGGAAGAATGTTTGAACATTTAAAAATCATCATTCCCTAATTTCCTTATGTTTGAGACCTTTATTTGAAAAAGATGAAGCACAAAAATTGACTGGCTTGTATGTGGAAAACATACTCTTTCAGATTTGTCACATACAGCCTGTGGCCTAAGGCCTATAGTAACATCCAAAGTGGGAGGATGGCAGAAGAGGAGGCATGTAAAAGTCTTCCCCTTGGGAAGAATCTTGGGATAGTCAGAGTCAGGGGCAGGAGTTCACTGGAGACCCATCCTACCCTACTCCCATCCCCACTCAATATTTGCCATTTTCTCTATAGAGGCCATTTTTCTCGGCTGCAGTTTCTTGCATGAAAAGACATAGTATATGGGAAGTCCTCTGGGATCTAATTGTAGTTCACTTACAAATTATGCAAAAAATAGGCAATCACTGAAACTCCCTGAACCTCAGTGTCTTTATCTATTAAAAAGATATAATATCTCATGCCTCGTTCACCTTCACAGTAGTTTACTCCGCTAACATTTGAGATAATAATTGCCAGCACTTGGTGAACACTATGTTAAGACTGAATTTTTCTTTTCTTTTCTTTTCTTCTTTTCTCTTCCTTCTTTGCCTTCTTTCCTTCCTTGCCTTCCTTCCTCCCTTCCTTCCTTCCCCCCTTTCTTTCTTTCTTTCTTTCTTTCTTTCTTTCTTTCTTTCTTTCTTTCTTTCTTTTCTCTTTCTTTCTTTCTTTTTCTTCCTTCCTTTCTTTCTTTCTTTCTTTCTTTTCTTTCTTTCTTTCATCCTTCCTTTCTTCCTTCCTTCCTTCCTTCCTTCCTCTTTTCTTTTCTTTTCTTTTCTTTTCTTTCATCTTTCTTGAGATAGAGTCTCCCTATGTTACCCAGATGCTGGCCTCAAGTGATCGTCCCTCCCTCAGCCACCCAAGGTGCTGGCATGACAGGCATGAGCCACCACACCTGGAAGGTTGGATTTCACTGAGCCTTCTCAACAATACTATAAGGTCATTATGATGATTGGCTCCTTTTAGAGAAGCAAGCTGTGACTCAGTGTAGGTAAGTGATCCATACAGTTAGAGTCGGTAAATGGTCGAGCTGGTAAGAGCTGTAACCATTACGAATGTCAGCTCAGATAAGCCAATAGACTAGCTTGAAATCATAGGAAAGGCTCCACAGAGGCAAACGATGGCTGCTGTCTAGTGCATTCCATCTCAGAAGGCAGGACCTTGGCCACCAGGTTGGTGAATGCAGGTGAATGCAGGTGCCAGATGAAGCTGGGGAGGAGCAGCAGGATTTAATAGGCTTCTAACTCAAAGGGAGCCAATAGAAGTTCCTTCTGGAAGATTCTAATTGCGAAGCTGTCATTTTCATTAGTCTGGACTGGTCGTTTGAACTGAGAACTGGTGCACTGTGGAGAGGTTGGTCAGTCAGGAGGAAAAAGTGGTCTGGAAAGGGAGTAAAGATGGGGCAAGCATGGATGAAACCAGGTAAAAAGAGAAGAAGGATGAAGAAAGCTGCTGCTGGCTTCTACATGTAAGTGCAGCCCCTTTTGAAAAACAGAGTTGCATCCTGTCCTTCAGTACTATAAACTAGCACCAATTTCTCCCCGGTTTTTATGTGAGCTATTTTGAGTGCTTTTGTGTTACTTTATCACAAACTTAACAACACCTTCTCAAAACCTCTCTCTCTTCATCCCAAAACTAATTTACTTATCCTCTTCTCCTTAGGAAGTTACTGGTCATTTTGGTTAATTATAGAAAAACATACAGGGTCTTAACTTTGTTTAAAGTGGTCACAAGGCCAGATGTGGTGGCTTACGCCTGTAGTCGCAGCACTTTGGGAGGCTGAGGTGGGAGGATTGCTTGAGCCCAGTAGTTCAAGATCAGCCTGGGCGACATGGGGAGACTCTGTCTCCAAAAAAAAAAAAAAAAAAATTATAAAATTAAAAATAAAAAAAAGTGGTGGCTAGTACCAGCTTTCACTTCAGGGAGACTCACTGTGACTCCAACTCCATTTCTGGCCAGCTGTGTAATCTTGAACAAATTGTCTGTTCTGAGCCTTAATTTCCTAACATGTTCAAAAGAAAACCAATAGTCACTACTTGGTAGGACTGTTAGAAAGAATGAAAGGGAAAACACACAGCATGGATGGCACAGTATTTTATACATTGAAGGTCTTCAATAGCTAGTAGCCATCAGTGTTGCAATTCATTCTTCCAATTCTAAAAGCTCTCTTTTGGTTTTGGTTCTACAAAAGTCACTCCCTGTGCCCATTCACCAGCCCTAGGTACGTGGAGACCAACGACATTTTAGTTTTTGGCCAATTTCTTCTATTCAAACACTCTGATCAGAATTCAGTCATATTAGGGTTAAAGAAAAAAAAAAAACCCTTGATTATCCTCTGTTCTTGAAAGCACTATCACCCTTGTTGGCTTAAGGCCAACCTGATTTCTGTGCTGAAAGAGCTGCTTTTTGCTTGGAAAAGGCAATGGCTGCCAGCTGCTTCCTCAGATGCTGTCTTCACTGCAGATAGCAATAAACAGCTGCAAGGAATGTGTTAATTGGTCTTGATCAAGATGTCATCTTCTGCGTTATTATTGAGTCAATGCCAGGTAGACAATGCCAGCAAACAGACAACAGTGAAAGTTGTCCTGATGCAGGAAAGTTGTACTCATTGCAGCTAAAGTTGTCCTGATGTAAGCCTTAGCTTACAGCATTCCCACTCAATCTCATTGACAGATTAAAGATCTCCACACATGTTTCAACTGCTAGGTTAATACATGTATGGACATTACTTAACTGACTTTGTTTATCATCCATCTGCTTAAGAGATGGAAGATAATTTACTGCTTTGAAGAGGTTTATTTAAAAACCACTTCCCAGAGCTGGACAGAGCTGTTCTATGGTGCAACACCCTGGCCAGATCTCTAAACACTGGTCTGTATGGCCACTCCTCCTAGTTCACACATCTCCCCCTTGCTAAGCCCAGATGCTACAAGTGTGGTCCAAGAATCGATGCATGAGCACATTATCAAGTACTGAGGACCAGGAACATTGGTGATGGTGCCATGGGCACCCTCTCTACCACTAACTGGCTATGTGACCTGGAACAATTTACTTAACCTTTCTGGGCTTCAATGTCTCATCCCTAAAATGTGGAGATGGACATTAGTATTTGCTTTGCAGATTTGTGAGGATAAGGGTTATGCATAGCTATTGATAATGACAAATGCATAGTAAGTGCTGAAAGAACATATTTGTTGTGATGCTGATGACACTGATGGTGATGCAAGTGATGTCAAGGAGCTTGGAGTCCTGTTATACGTGGGCTTGGTGAGACATTTAAAGAACATCTGGCCCTTTTAGCTCAAGGATAGAAGTGACTATCTTTTGACTTCTTCTGCCTTCTCGCCCATGGCTGCACCAGTCTGTGCACCTGTATCTTTATTTACTGTCCTAACATGAGCCCTCCCGACTGAAGTTGCACTCATGACTTGAGTCCTATGCACAGATCTTGACACTTGAATCAGAGACTTCTTTTGTCCTGAATTTTCTTTTTCTTTTCTTTTCTTTTTTTTTTTTTGAGACAGAATTTTGCTCTTATTGCCCAGGCTGGAGTGCAATGGCATGATCTCGGCTCACTGCAACCTCCGCCTTCCGTTTTCAAGTTATTCTCCTGCCTTAGCCTCCTGAGTAGCTGGGATTACAGGTATGCACCACCACACCCGTCTAATTTTGTATTTTTAGTAGAGACGGGGTTTCTCCATGTTGATCAGGCTGGTCTCGAACTCCCGACCGCAGGTGATCTGCCCACCTTGGCCTCCCAAAGTGCTGGGATTACAGGCATGAGCCACCATGCCTGGCCATGTCCTGAATTTTCAAACATAGTTGGTTCTCAGATCCTGACCTAAAGCACCCTGCGTGACATCATGATCTTCCAAAACCACTCATACAGGCCCCTGTCAGAGCTGCAGAGAAAGAAGCTGGCTGAAAAAAGGCCATATAGAGATCCTGGTGGCTCCCTCAGGGAGCACTACAGCCCCTGCAGTCAGCACAGAGGGGCACCCTGATTAGGCTCTCCTATTAAAGCTGCCTCAGGACACTGGCTCACCTTGTGTGTTAGCTGGTGAAGAACTCAGGACCCTCAAAAGAGAATTCAGGCCAAAAGAGTGGTGTTGCCCCTTCTCTGGAAGCATTTGAATTACTACTATAAGGTAATAATCTTTGTGTTTTAGATTTTCAAATCTCAAACAATAAATATGTTGCTTTTAATTATTTTTGGAATACAGCCAACACAATATTTACCAAATCACTTTCAGAAGGCCAGTGAGGAAGCCCAAAACACAGCAGCTACACCCACTGATTTCTGTTTTTCTAAGTTGAAAACTGATCCGTCTCGATTGCAGATGATTATGAATAGTTTTGTACGTCCAGCAACATATTGCTAACCTCAGCCTTTCTTTCTTAAGCTCATTATTTGCTAATGATTTTCTTGGCCACAAAGCTCATAAAATTCCCTTGAGTTGCTTAAAAAAAAAAACCTCTTAGGACATTTGTTCCATTTGTTCAGCATCTGCGCCGGACAACATCTGGAGCCTGAGGAAATTCCACAGCTCAGGGTATGATGCGTAAATGAAATTACTTTTTCATGCACTTCAGAAGAGATTCAAGAGCATCTTTCTGACCAAACAAGCCCTTTTGTTCTCCTCCAGCAAGTGTTTCTCATTAAAAATGTCATCTCCCTAATAAATTGCCTTATTGCCCCTGCAGCTGGGCCTATTGTTTTCATGGTTTTGTGCTCACTCTGATTCTCACAGGAACAGAAAACCAGAGAAAAATGGGACTTTTCCCCCATTCTGTCTCCATGAAATGCCTTTATTTCACCCTTTGTGTTTGAGTGAGAACTTGTCTTTCATCGGAGCCCTTTATTCTCCCAATAATCACTGCTTTTGGCCCAATATTCACTGCTTTTGGCAAAATATCCTCAGACACATCCTGTCAGATATACTTTTCCTACCTAGATACTGGATGGTGGCAGCTTGCATCCAGGGATCCCAGCTCAGGCCAAAAAGTGGCATTTTGGGGATTATGTCCTAGTGGTTTATTCTTTGTAAGAAAATATCCAATGTGATCACATCTTTAGTCTCTGCCATAAGAACATATACAACAATTTTAGGGATGGCAAGGATAAAGAGATTAACTTGGGACAAGAATGGGGGTTAGGATGAGATGTGTGTGTCTGTGTGTGTGTGTGTGTGTGTGTGTGAGAGAGAGAGAGAGAGAGAGAGAGAGAGGGAGAGAGAAAGAGAGAGGGAGACCTGGGATTAGGGGTTCCTATAGAAGCCACAGAAAAGATTTAAAACAATCTTGGAAACATTTGATGCAAGCTATGTTCCTAGAGTTGAGGGGTGAAAAAATATCTTTTTTTTTTGGTATCTCTGGTCAGAATTAACCTTGAATGTGAAAAGTTCATCTTCTATCAATTTCTTTCCCCCATATCCCTTCAGCCTCTCCTTTTCACTGGCCTCTATTGCTAACATTTATTCACTAGGTCAGCAGGAATTTGTACAACCAAACTCATCTTCCCCAGTTATTTAGTCCACTTTCTATCTATGCACAATGTAAAATAATAATAACAATAATAAGGAGAAGAAGGGCCTAACTGGAAGAGAGAAAAGACATTTCTGGCATGCAAATTGCTTTGCACTGAAAATTCTTTTGGAATCTCCAGGCTTCCTTTGACTTTTTCGAAACCTTGAAAGGAAGGGTACAGGAGGCTAGTAGACAGAATTGGCTGGCTGCCATGAGCTCGGTGCTTGGGCTAATTTTGCATACAAGTTCCCTGAATTTTCTTCACTAAATGCAAACATAGGCCACCATTAACATCTGCTCTCTGTGATTCTTTTGCAGCAAAGCTGCAGATCCCTGAGGCCAAGGCTGATGAAAGATGTGGGTAGCCGATTCTGTCCTGTGACCTGGAGGCTCTGAATTTGTGATTGAAGAGATCCTGCACAGTCCTCTCCCCTGTCATATCAGGCATCTGCAAGGCATTCTAAGGACCTCTAGGAGCACACAGTTCAATCCAGCAACCTCTACTAAGGGTCACAAATGCCTATGTCCAAGTCTATGCTGGCCCTGTCAAAGTCCCGTCTCTGCTCTGCCCCCAGGGTCTTACGGGCTACAAATGGGACAACTTTTTAAATACTCACACATGTTGTGATCATTTGTAAGTCCAAGTCACAAAAACAGCAGAAGTAGAAAGTTTTACCTTAGAGTGAAAATCAAGGGTGGTGTTGCTACCAGATGGTGCCACTCAGTTGCAGGTTCTTGGTGTCCCGAACAAAGAGTTGGACAAGACACATACATAGCAAAGCAAAGCGATGAAAGTGTATGAAGCTCAGTATTACACTCTCGGAGCAGGAGAGCGAACTGACCTCTGTGAGATGAGATCACCATCAGTTTGGTGTAGTTTGGGTCTTTTTATGTGTTTTTTTTTCTTCTCTTCCCAAGGCTGCCTAATCTCTCGCCAGTGTCTACCCTTTAGATTGATAGGTGTGTTGCTTAGTTACTTTGGCCCCTGTGCGCTTGTGCATCATCTCTATCCCATAATTTTAAGTACATGCATGATATGCAGCCCGTAGGCATGAACCTTAAGTAGCTGATTATCATACAAGGTTATGTTAAGGATACTTTTTCTCTCTAATGTGCATGCCCATCTCTGAAGCGCTGCCTCTTACTGGTTTGGTCCCAGTCTTGCTGGTCATGGGGTCCTTGCTCACCTTTTTATCTCACTTTTTTTTGGCTGCTGAATATCTGCTTTTTATCTCCCTTCCTGTTCACCCATCCCTTCACCTTGCTTCTGTTCTCTGCTTTTACTTATTCTGTGCTGTATCCAACTTTTAATTCCCTTTGCTATTCTCCGGCCTCATTTTCTCTATTTTTCTCCTGCCTCAGTGTTACGGTGGAGTTGGTCATTGAGATAGATTTTGATGCATGAATCAGAGTTCTCAGGGAAGACAAGGTGGGAAAGGCTTTTGTTTCGGAGAGACTAGGCTATAGAAAAGCACAAAGGCACGAGATATCCCTTTATTTGTACCATCATTTGTCCTTTGTTCTTTTGTTCAACAATTTAGGACTTACTAGATTGGCTGGAGCTTGGTACACCCAAACTCAATTTTAGATGAACAGACACCCTTTTAGGGGCTAGTGATACAAGGATGAATATGACAAGGAGTCTGCCAAGTATTTTTTTTTTCCAGTAGGGGCTACAGACCCGTAATAAATATAAAAGTAAATGTATAACATACAAGCGCTGCAAAGAAAAATAAATCATAATAAGAGTGAGATTGAATATTAGGAAAAGAAGACCTGAATACAGTGATCTTTAATCTCTCTAAGGAAGAGACTCTTCTGAAGACGCATGAATTTGAACAGTCACAATGGTGCGTGTTCCAGGGATCTTAAGTACTTGGTACTTATTGAAGCATAAAGTGGCAGGAAGAGAATAAAGCATGATGTCCCTGGGGATGTGTAGAGCTGTATAATGAGGAATATCTGAGGTGCATACTAAGCAACATTAATGTAAATACGTAGGCAAGATCGGCACAGACATTAAGAAACTGTAGTTTGGTAGCAGAGTGGGCTGGAGAGGTGGCAAGTGTTTTAGAAATATGACTCAGGTACTAATGTGGACACTGCTTTAGCGTGAGGAGACTCTGGATCCACAGATATTGGGTTACAAGATGTTGTCAACCCAGTTATCAGTGTCAGCAGCAACAGCATTTATTGAGCTCCTCCTGTGTACAAGGAACTGTTCTGGGCACATCAGTAGTGTTAACTTTTTAAATTCCTCAATAGTACTGTGAGCCAGAAAGTTTAAGTAGCTTGCCCAGGGTGTTCTATCCACCCGGCAGAGCAGGAACACCACCCAAGCAGTCTGGTGAGGTCAGACACAGAGCCGTAACCACTGTGCTATACAGACTTCCAGCCATCATGAGAGACCATGGGTGCTGGACATGAGGGTAGTTTCTGGGGGGCCTGAAGGCAGGGAATGCTTTAAGGTGTAGTAGTTGGCAAGACTTCCTTAATTAATTGGGATGTGATCATGAAAGACAGGAAAGAGTAGAAAATGCTCCGAGGGGATGGATCTTGCTTGGAAAGCAATGTGTACTATGCTGCCACCGACGGAGATGTGCACTGGTTAGTGAGTTTCAGCCAGAGGACCCAGTGGGTTACGCAGGAAGCAGCTGGAACTTTCCCACAGATGGGTGATTTGATTAGTCACCAAACACAACCAACTGTTACTTGATTTGGGAGCAGATTTCTACATAATATGACAGAACAAACCATGTCTCTCTACTGCTGAGAAATTTTTGATAGCTCCTTAGCAAATTCCAAATTTAGTACAAGTTCCTTTATCTGGGATTACGGAAACAAACAAACAAAAAATCCTCTATAGTATAGTTCCAATAACCCTCTTCATCCTAATCTCTCTTTGTTTGCCTACTAAAAACCCAATCTCCAGTTAAATGGGCTGAGCACAGGGCTGGGTCCCTGATGAATGCTCTGTCATTTAAACCTTACATGGTCTATTGGAAATGGCATGGATTTAAATATCGGAAAGATTTGGGTTTGAATCTAGGCTGCTGTCCTTAGTGTACTTTGGTGAGTCATTTGATCTCTCTTGCTGTTTCTTGGCTAGCCTGGGATGATCTCTGACCTACCATCTCCTGGAAAGGATCAAACTATAATGACCAACATTTGTTGTCCTGTTGCTAGTGCCTCGAATTTTTCTAAGGTCTCTGTAAGCAGTTTTTTGTTTGATTCCCCAGGAACCAAGACACAAGATACCATTGTACAGATGTAGACAACTGAAGCACAGAGCAGTTAAACCACTTCCCCAAAGTCACACTTGCCAAGTTAGGACTGGGTGCGAATTAAATCCCAGGAGCCCTGACTCTATCCTATCAGTCAATATTATGACTGATTAATGTTACATTGCTAAATTGACTGAGATTGCTAATCTAAAGCACCTGGCACATGACAGCTCCCCTCTACAAATGGGCATGGCTGTCTTTCAATAAAACTTTATTTACAAAAAGAGGTGGTGGGCCAAGCATAACTAGGAGGCTGATTCTTGACTCTCTGCTGACTCTTGACATAAATTGCAGTAAAATATAGAAAATAATTATGTAGTGATGGGATTTCATTGTTTTTTAATGTAATGTATTTAATTAAATTAATTGTAAGCCTGAATAATTTAATTTTAGAGAATGGCTCTGTTTAACAATCGGCTCATGGAGTTTCTGAAAACTTAGCAGCCAGCTCTCACAGGCTCACTCAAACCCACTTCCTGGTTACAATTCCAGTCCCTGCCCAGCTGTGAGAACTGGGGCAAATGATCTCAGTTTTTTCACCTGGGAACCGGAAGTGGTTCCTACCGAGCTGTGCTCTGAATAATCGGAAATAATGTATACAAAGAGCTCAGCAGCTAGAATTCAGTAACTGGTGCCCACAGCAATAAAAGAGGAGCTGCATTAATGATTCGTATTTCTCTTTGGTTATGGCCTTCAGGCCAGTTCATAAAAGATAGAAGCTGGAAAGAAGGGAGGTGAGATCCAAGGAGATACAACTCGCCTCTTTTAAGTGCCTCGCCTGTACCAATCACTAGGAAGTGATTCCAATCCTTTATTCACTGAATCTTCATCGCAAACCTTTGAGTGTATTGTCTTTCCTATTTTACAGCTATGAACCACAAGATTCAAAGGGGTGGAAAGCTTCGGGGGCCCTCAGTTGTCAGGGAGCAAAGCAGAGTTCCATCAAGGTCTTCCTGATTTGAAAATGCCCTCCCTATCGTGTGAGTCAATCCTATTAAGGGAAGCCAGGGTTCTGAGATAAGTCAGTGGTATCAACCTGGTAGCAATCAGTTTTATTCCAGTTAAACCCTTAGGTTCAAAATCAAATTCAGAGACCCATTTTATTGAATAGCTGGATCAGTTGGTGTTTTACACTGACAATAAATGCAGGCCGGCTAAATCACTAGGCATATACTGAATACTGAGCTAGGAACTAGGGATGTTCAGATAAATGACATAGCCTCACCTTGAAAGGGCTCATAACCAAGCCAGGGAGACAGATCGATCAAATAATGAGGATAGCGAAGGATTTGATAATGTAGCAGGGCTATGGGGGAGATCATACAAAGTGCAGTTAAAGAATAAAGGCTGTCAAGACGGGCTACTCAAAGGAGAAATTGCAATTCCCAGACAATTCTTGTTTCTTATCTCTCTCACTTTCTGGGCACCTGCGTGCATTGATAATGATCCTTCTTGCTCACTGGCACCTGCTTGCTTTGATAATGATCCCTTCTTGCTCACTCTCCTTCTCCCCCATCACTATATTTCCTACACCATCCTCTTCATTCCTTAGGACTGGCAGAACTTCTTGTGGAAGCCCTTTCTTGAGGTACACAGGGTGGGCTCGGCACCTTCTTGTATGCTTCTCTAGGTTCCTCGGCATGTGTGTCCTTATTGAAGACTTATTGCACTATCCTGCAATGGTCTATTTAGGCATTAGTCTCTCCCACTAAATAAGGAGTTCCTTGAAGGCAGAAGCTGTACTGTTTGACTTTGTTAATGTAGCACCAAGCATGACATCTGGTCTAAACTTATGCTCAACAAATGCCAGGAGAATGAATAAATGAGCATAGCCCGAGCTGGATCCTCAGGAACATGAGGGACATGACACTGGAAAAAGGTAGAGAATGGGCAAGGAAGATATAGGGTAACAAATGTTCTGGAAAGATTTTATGGCCTGGCATGGTGGTGTCTCACGCCTGTAATCCCAGCACTTTGGAAGGCCGAGGAAGGTGGATCATTTGAGGTCAGGAGTTCAAGACTAGCCTGACCAACATGGTGGAACCCTGTCTCTACTAAAAATTAAAAAAAATTAGCCAGGCATGGTGGCATGCATCTGTAGTCCCAGCTACTTGGGAGGCTGAGACAGGAGAATCGCTTGAACCTGGGAGGGGGAGGTTGCAGTGAGGCAAGATGGCGCCACTGCACGCCAACCTGGACGACAAAGCGAGATTCTGTCTCAAACAAACAAACAAACAAACAAAAAAACACCTTCCAAAAAGGTCTGAAGATACTATCATTAACAAATGTTTCTCTCTTTGTCTTTCCCTTACATCTCATAAAAAATAACACTGTCTTTCACTTACGGTATTTTTTCCCCCAGAATCTAATTTTTATACTTTTAGTCAATTATAGATGCTTCCTAAATGTAAGTCTGAGACTCACCTAACTCTATTTGGGAAGAATCTAGCAACCACTGGGAGTGACTAAAACTTGGTTGTTCCTAGCCCTGTTCCCTTAGTTATTCCTTGCCCACCAACTGACCATCTGAGGCAATCTCATGAATGGCTGTATTAAAAATATATTGCAATTCCATGCCAAACACTATTCATTTATCTTCCATCTGTTTAAAAATGTATTAATAGATACAATTTGCTCTCTGGGACCTTTGGCTCCTCCCCAGGTTCCTGATTATTTATTTATACTGACTGGCTGGGATTCTTTTAGGCAGGATGATTATAATAAGACCTAATCTTTCCCTTTGCATGGTAGACGACTCATGCTACTTTTCTCTTAGAATCCTCCAGGCAGCATTCTGTCAACTTCAAAATGAGTGTTTCCATGTCAATGTTCTTCCTTCTCACAGCAAAATAAATTCTGGAATCAGTGACTTCCTTCCAATTAAGGCCAATTCCCATTTGTTTTTGACTTTATGGCTGTGGCCTGTGGAGGACAGAAAGGATTAATAATAATTTATAAGTGAGGCAAGAATTTAAACCGAACACATCGGAGGTGGTCTGATTCTGCTCCACGGCCTCTGAGGCCTCAGCTAGTAAGACTGGAGAACAGCTTGGGTGACAGGGACAGCTGGGAGCTGGAATCATCTGGAGGCTTCCTCACTCACAGGTTGGGGGCTTGGGCTGGGATGACTTGAAGGCTGGGATCAGCTGGGATTTTCAAGTGGAATGCCTGCATATGGTCTTTCCATGTGTCTTGGGCTTTTTAGAGCATGGTAGCAGGGTTCCAGGAGAGTCCAAGAGACCATGGTGGAAGCTGACCTAGCCTTGGAACCCACACTGCCACCTTCTTTTCTTACAAACAAGTCAGCCGAGGGTCAAGATGAAGGGCAGTAGATGCCATCTCTGGATATCAGGGATAATACCTGGCAGAGAGCAAATGCTTGATAAATCACAGCTTTTATATTATCCATACCACTGTACAGGGCCTCCCAGAAAACTAGAGTTCCTTTATTTTCCCAAATTCTTTCCTGTGAGTGAGTAATAGAAGCACTGTAAGATAACTGTCTTTTGTTTAAAGAACATTGGATAAGGGAATAGA
This sequence comes from Homo sapiens, assembly GCF_000001405.40. Lineage (NCBI taxonomy): Eukaryota > Metazoa > Chordata > Mammalia > Primates > Hominidae > Homo > Homo sapiens. Next base: position 93,990,289 of record NC_000015.10, read on the forward strand.
ATGAGGTTGCAATTTGGTTGTTTTGGTTAAAGAAGGAATTGAGATTGTAACATTATGATGGAATTTGATTTTCATTCTCACTATGTACTAGGCACAAAATCATAGAAAATGGTTTCATTTTATGCTTTTATTTCCACTTGAAACATGGGAGTCATACACAGAAACAGCTTTCTTTCAATTACATGGCTAGTAGTAGGTAAAGTGGGACATGGCATTTTGAATCACAAGAATTGGTATGGGCAATATCAAATACGTGAGGAAGTTTGAACTTCCTACAGGCAAATGCCTATAATATACACACTCATATGGTGACGATCCATTCACTTGCTAACTTCATTAGCAAGTGTAAGGTTGGTGCAAACGTAATTGTGGATTTTGCCATTACTTTCAATGGCAAAACCACAATTACGTTTGCACCAACCTAATATTTACCAACCACCTGTAAGTTGGTTGAGCAGGATCAATTCTAGACAACAGAGCAGGGCAGTGAATAGAAAAACCATGTGTCCTTGTCAACCTTACATCTTAGCAGAGACTCGAGCTGGTTCCACCTTTTTGTGAGGAACTCATGCAATTTTCCCCATAAAGGTCCAGTTCACTAAATGGCCTCACATAACTTATCAAAATTGTATGAAGAAAAAAAATTATGTAAGTTTTTAATATGACACTAAAATTGTACTCTTTTCCTAAAGAATTCTTTGCTTACTCCACAAGTGTGCAGCTTAAGGGCATTTAGAATTATTTCTTGTAGATATTCAGATATATTTTAGGTGGAGCTATAGGAAATCGCTAATATTCACCCACTCTTTTTTTCTTTTTTGAGACAAAGTCTTGCTCTATCACCCAGGCTGGAGTGCAATGGCATGATCTCGGCTCACTGCAACCTCTGCTTCCCAAGTTCAAATGATTCTCCTGCCTCAGCCTCCCAAATAACTGGGATTACTGGCATGTGCCACCATGCCCTGCTAATTTTTTTTTTGTATATTTTTTGGTAGAGATGGGGTTTTACCATGTTGTCCAGGCTGGTCTCAAACTCCTGACCTTGTGATCCACCCACCTTGGCCTCCCAAAGTGCTGGGATTCTAGGCACTTTGGGATTCTAGGTGTGAGCCACTATGCCTGGCCCACTCTTTTTTTCAAAAAAAATTTTTTTTTGAGATGTAATCTCGCTCTGTCGCCCAGGCTGGAGTGCAGTGGCGCGATCTCGGCTCACTGCAACCTCCGCCTCTCGAGTAGCTTTTGGGGTACAAGTGGTTTTTTGTTACATGGATGAATTATGTAGTTATGAATTCTGAGGTTTTAGTGCACCCATCACCTGAGTAGTGTACCTTGTACGTAATGTGTAGGTTTTTTATCCCTGCTCCCCCACACTCCTCCCCCTTCTTAGTCTCTAAAGTCCATTACATCACTCTGTATGCTCTGCTTTCTCATAGCTTAGCTCCCACTTATAAGGGAGAACATACAGTTTTTGATTTTCCAGTCCTGTGTTACTGCACTTGGAATAATGACTTCCAGCTCCATCCAAGTTGCTGTAAAAGACATTATGTTGTTCCTTTTAATGGCTGAGTAGTATTCCACATACTATGGAATGTAAAAGAAAAAAATATATATATATAACATTTTCTTTTTTTTTCCTTTTCTTTTTTTGAGAGGGAGTCTTCCTGTGTCACCTAGGCTGGAGTGCAGTGGCACGATCTCAGCTCACTGCAAGCTCCGCCTCCCGGATTCACGCCATTCTCCCGAGTAGCTGGGACTACAGGTGCTGGCCACTGCACCCGGCTAATTTTTTGTATTTTTAGTAGAGACAGGATTTCACCGTGCTAGCCAGGATGGTCTCGATCTCCTGACCTCGTGATCTGCCCGCCTCAGCCTCCCAAAGTGCTGGGATTACAGGCGTGAGCCACCGCACCCATCCCACATTTTCTTTATCTGCTAAATAGTTGATGGGCATTAAGATTGGTTCTACATCTCTGCAATTGTTAATTGTGCTGCTATAAACATACAAGTGCAAGTGTATTTTTCATACAATGACTTCTTTTCCTTGGGGTAGATACCCAGTAGTGGAATTGCTGGATCGAATGGTAGATCTATATTCAGCCCTTTAAGGAATCTCCACTCTGTTTTCCATAGTGATTGTTCTAATTAAGATTCCTACTAGCAGTGTATAAGCATTCCCTTTTCCTCATATCCGCCAACACCTATTTTTTTGACTTTTTATTAATGGCCATTCTTGTAGGAGTAAGGTGGTATCACATTGTGCTTTTAATTTCCATTTCCCTGATGACTAGTGATGCTGAGCATTTTTCCGTATGTTTGTTGGCCATTTGTCTACCTTCTTTTGAGAAATGTCTATTCATGTCCTTTATTCACCCACTCTTGACCTATGAAAACAATTTTATATGATTTAAGTTATGTGCTGTCTAGAATTTTCTGAAGAAAATCAATTAATAGGAGTAATAAGAATATTGTGACATGTTTAAGTGAGATTTCCTAGAGCCCACTGTTTTGGCCTTAGATATCATGGTAAGTCTTGGTTTTAGACAAATACTACATATCACATTAAGGCAGTCTTACTATAATTATAATTTCACAGTAAAAGTCCATGGAAAGTTGTTGCTGACTTTACTTCCTCTCCTAACTACTCACACAGCAGGTGTAATCCTGAGGTCTCAGAACATTCATGTTTATGTCTTGCAATTGATTTTACAATAATAAAAGACAAGACACATGAAGAAATAATGAGACTACTTAAAGAAATAGCAAGGTTTAAATAATGTCACTTAGCTCTTCATGGTTTACAGAAAATTTTATAGGAATTATTATTTTATCTTCTCCTTATAACTATCTTATTAAGTAGGATTTGTGATTCTCATCATACAGATGAGGAAACCAGAGTTTAGAGAGATTAAATCTTGTCCAAGTTTGCCTATCCAGTGGTTAGATTTGAACTCTGTTTATCAAAACCCAAAACTAAATATGTTCTACACTGGTCTGCTCCATGTATCCTGACTTCTTCTTTTTTATTGAAAGAGGTCCTTCTCCTACTGGCCGTGAGTTTTCAATCCTGCATGTTTGTTAATCCATTGCCAATGGAAACGACCAGACAAGAGGAAGATTAGGAATGTCGTGTTGGTTTTTGGAATGGCATTTCTCAAAGAATATTGGGATGAACACTGATTCAGTCAGAGATTTAAAGGTGTTGTGGTCAAAAGAAAATTTTGAAGTTCAGTTAAATGAAGCTAAACAGCTTTATTTCTTTTAGCATAGGGGTTGTCAGAAATTTAAGTAAGCTAATATGCATTTGAATCTTTGAAAAGACACCGAAGAATATATAAGGACACACACATTAAACAGCAATGATTTTTTTGGGAAATAATCCCAAGGCTAGTGTCCCTTTTAGCACATTTTGGGAGTGCTGGATTAGAAAAGTCATCTCAGATTCCAGGTAAATAAATTACTTCTTTTCTTTATGGCAGACTTGCTGTAATGAGAAGAAATAAACATTACTAAACTCATCAAGGTTCGGGTAAAATTTCAGTGCTGTCACTCATCAGCCATGTTGACTGGGACGTATTATTTAGTAGTATCAGTACTATGTTATCTCATCTGCAAGAAGGTGGTAACAATCTCGAAAGAATAAAACTTTTGTTGAGGACTGAGAAAAATGGAAAGCACTTAGCGTAGTACTTGGCAGGCAGTTGGCATTCAGTCAGTGATGATAACTTTTCTTTCCCCCACAACTTGATCTGAGTCTTTGCTTTCCATTCCTGGACTACTGAAGACAATTTCTAAAGATAACACTTGTCAATGGCCCTCATCCAAGAGAATATCACACAAATATGATCTGCAGAGCACAGGGTATAACAGTTCTCACACATTGTGGAAATGTCAAGGTTTATTATGCCCCTGTGACATATTGCCATGGCTTAATTTACATTTCCATTTGCTTTATGAGAAGTTTCTTACTCTGGAACATCTGACCTCTCCTTGATGCCTCTTTTATTCTTCAAACTGCTTTCCTAGCCCATCTGGCCACATATTCTAACCCTTCACTTCTGAACCTGAAATCTAATGAAGCAAGAGTATAAAACAAGCCTCATTTCATTACTCTGCATTTTGTGAGCCAGTGGTTTCAACAGTGTATAGTTATGGGACCATTATAGTACTTTTCCTATGGGAATATCTAATGGCCTTCTGTGGAACAATTTTCTTCTTCTTTTGACCTCTATCTTAATATAATCATTCAAAGGATATTCAGTGCTTTGTGCCAAATTTTAGCCATGACAAACTACTTCAAGATTTCAACTTCATAAGCAAGAGAGACATATTTTCATAAAATGCTTTTTTCCCCCACTTAAGTTAGGTGCTTATTTTATTAAAATGAGAAACTCAGTTGACATTTTTCTACACTCAAACCCCTTTTTAATGGGAGAAAGGGTTGAGAGAGAGAAAAGGAAGGGAGGAAAGAAAAGCAAAAGAAGGTATGTATGCACACCCAAATACTTTTTAAGAAATAGGAACTGTCTCTCAAACTTGATTTTTTTTCCTTTGGCAAAGAAGGGAACCATGCATCTTCATGGGCAAAGTCAAGGTTGGCATATTTGACTCCCATCTGGCTGGGGGCCAAAGTGTAGATGAACAAGCCATTATTTAATTAGTCCAGGCAGAACCGAAGCTTCTGATCTGTTTATCTTACTTCATCTAAGGTAATCAGGATCTGCCATTATGTGAGACTAGCGTGGCTATGTGCAGATATTTCAAGCAGGTGACAGACTGGCAACCGGCCTTCCCCAGGTAAGATGAAAGAAACCAAAAGAGGATCCAAGTATTATTGGGAGCTTCAACCACACTGTGGGCCTTAAAAGAATTTCAAAGAGAAGGTCTCATTTAGTTTAGTCCTTACCATGGTCCCGTGACATAAATACCAATCATTTCACTCACAGGTGAAGAAAAGGAGGCTCAGAAAAGCTGAGCAACTTTTCCAGGGTCACAGAGCAAATGATTGGCAGGCAGAGGCTGCAAATCTAATTCTATCTGCTTAGACTTAAGGGTTCCGGGCACTAAGCAACCCTGCTTTTCACTCACATTACATCTTTTGGCTGCTACAGGCCATTGTTTACTCCTGGAGACTTCTCATTTGGCTCTGCAAATTCCATTTTATTTTTTTTTTTAATGAGAAATCATTTATTTTTTGACTACCTTTCCAAGTACCTGGATAATCCCTAAAAGTAGTACTCATAAACCCATGGAGAAGTTGTAAGACCTGATGTTTTTCTTGTAGTAGATGGAGTATTTGCTATGAACAGCAACATGATGGCTTATTTCCAAGGACTTTCCTCTCTTGCTCTCCTCCTTTCCCCGTCTCCTCATACACACACAGACACACACACACACACACACACACACACACACCACACACATTCATGCTCTCGATCTCACATGCACATATGGCTCACTTGCCCTAAATACAGTGAAAGAGATTTTACATTATTTAATTCATTTTGAGAGAGAGACTGACTTGATTCCTGCTGGTGATTAGCATGACTACAAATGCATGTGAAGCAGGACGGATGGCTAATTCTCCTGCCCTACAATTCAACTTAAACCATAATTCCTAAGATAGATTTCTTCTCTCAATATTAATGGGAACCAGATGCCTCTTGTTAATAATAATGTATGCTCAGGAAAAGAGAGACAGAGAGATTTTTTTTGTTTTGTTTTTCAAAAAATATTAGTGCTGTCTAGCAAGGAAGAATGTATAATTTATACTTAAAAATATATATTTGTGTTGAAATATAGATTTGTATTGAAAAATGTATATTTGTATGGAAATATAGATTTGTATTGATAATCTACCATCATTCAGGTAAGACCTACCTACATTATTTACCTCCCTGCAAGTAGGTAACATAGAATGTGAAAGAGACTTTTCTTTTGAGTTTATGCACTTTGTTCTTTATTTAGTGATATGATTCTCTCTCTCATACAATAAGAGATCAATACGAATGTTAACATGAGTTACTATTTTCCCACTTTATATGACATTTTAAATTTTAATTCCATTTGAGTTGTGATACTAACAGATGAGAAGGTACATGTGTTATTACCATGCAAATTATTTAATTTTTAATTAGGTCAATTCATAGGCAAAACAATACAAAATAAGGCTTATTCTGAAATAGTTACCTCATTTAGAAATTTGAGCGTAGACTGGCCATTTGAACAAGCTTCCTTTATTTCCATTGCCATATGCGGTTGTTCAGTTCTTTTCAAAATAAACTAAGTACTGCCTGCTGTGCACATGTGTTTGTCAGAACCATCCATTCTTGAGTAAGATTTAGGGGTAAAGCACACCAACCAGCAGCCTAATTATTCCAGAGTTTCAAGGTATCCATTCACATGCTCCAATCTGTCCACACTAGAATGAGGGAAATCCCACTGTGTGTCCTTAGGCAAGTCCCTAGACATTGCTGTGTCTTGGTCTCCTCACCTGTAAATGCTGGAAGACAATAATAGCTATCTCACATGATTCTCATGCAGTTTAGGTGAGAAAATACGTATCATTGTCTTCAGCAGCCCTTGGCATAAAATAGGAGATTGATGCGCTTTGGCTGTAATAATTATGATATTATTAATCAAGCAAAATATAACACAACAATAATTTATTGTCCCTTTCACCTTAAAGGGACAAATTATTCCCTTTTCAGATATTCTATAGCACAAATTTTCTGTGCAATCATAGAAGTGTTCAATTTGCTATCGCTTTGCTATATATCATGGTCTTACATGATCACTGTCTCACATAATCATTTAATATATAATATTGTTATATATCATAATTATAATTTTTGTTTTGCTTGTAGCTGAATTTGTTCTCTGCATCACATCTGATAGTCATAAAATTCCAACAAATGGGATGAAACAGAAATGTGCAGCTAGATGTCATATTTTGGGCATCACTAGAGGGAGCCAGAGGTAACAGAGCAATCACGTTTCCCAAAGTAAACTTCATTATGCATTAACAATATTTGCCAAATGTTGATAGCATATCTACAGTAAATACATTATGTAAACTTGTCCCTTGGTTCTAAAGATGTGTACAATATAATCACAGGTCTCAAGGAATTTATAATCTAATCAAAGAAACAAATAATATACATTAAAAACCCATTAAATGATCATGTAAGACGATATATAGCAAAGCAATCACAAATTGAATGCTTCTACGATCTCTCAGACGATTTGTGCTATAGAATGCCTAAAAAGGAAATTATTTGTCCCTTTAAGGTGAAATAACCTGGGAATGTTTCATGCATAAATACGGGCATTGAATAGGGTTTAGAGTACCAGAATCAGCATCCGGACTAGTGGAACCTTTAAAGGATGCAAGGAGTGATGCTGTGAATGTGCCCATCTCCCTCTCATGGAGGGCTCCTGTTTACTACTCTACTCCTTTATCCCTAGGGCATGGATCTGACTCAGCTACTCCCCATGTTAAATGTGGTAAATGGTTCCAACTGCTTCCTGGATTAAACTAAATGTTATAGCCTGGCATCACATGCCTACATTATTTTATTTAGAAGTAAGAATGTAAAGGTATACTTTTCAAGTCAAGGTATAGCTTGACTATAAAAGGGGCTAGCAGGTCATGCGTGGGCTAAATGTTAGGGACAGCGGGGACCCACGGAAGGTTTTTGAGCAGTTGAATATCTTGACTTAGTATCAGTATTAAAATAATTGTATAGGCACAAAATCGATGAATTTATTACCCAAAATTCTTATTCAATTCACTACCTTAAATCCAACTCCACTCATTGGTAGAAATTGAGTTACCAGTAAAATGCTAGTTTTTATGCTTCTTCAAAATTAGTGTAAAAATATGAAAACCAAAAACAATGTCATAAATCTTTCAGGTGTCTTGTCTTCCTTATCCTTTTGGGGTCTGGGGATTGGGGCAGCAACCTTATCAATAGTGGAAGTTACTTTTCCTCACAGACCCATTCAACTTGGAGCATGCCAGTTGTGAAGGTGTTATAGGTTTCCAAGAAATAGGAGCTTGAGAAATAAAGAAAGGAGTATCAATGAAATTTAAAGGGATTTTTTTTCTCTCTCTTAGAAAAACCAAGAATTCACATAAGGTGAGGAACGCTAGTTACTGGAAGGGGAGGAGTGTAATTTCCAAACAGCCTCATCACTGTACAGGATGATCAAGCAAAGCCTTATGACGGTACTGGCCCTTAAAAAACAGCCACTTGGAATAAAAAGTAGCCCTCATAGAGTTAACTTATCTGTGAAAAACCCATTGTCACTTCCTAGATTCTGAGATTTCTAAAAGTATAAAATGTATCATGTAACTTGGAGTATCTAACATGACTTGAGTTTCCACTGAGCATGAAAGTCATTTTTACATCTTTTCAAGTATTAAAGCATGTTTTTAACACTCACTAGCCTACCGAATTCCCCTTCTAGCCTTTCCTATCTTCATGGCACCCAACAGCTATTTTAGAGCAACTGTTCTACTCGAGGCACCCGGTAACTGCAGGAGATTTATGGAGAAACAAGTCATAGCCCTTGCTCACAAGCGGCTGAACTGACTAACCACAGGGATGATACAAGGAAACAAATGCCTATCATGTCCAAAGACTAAATAATATGTAGTGGAAATGCACTGGAGGAAGGCTTCTTGTCTCTTTTGAATTAAAACTCTGAAGAAATATTAAAGGTGGAGTAGATAGTAAAGACATGGGACTAGTAGATGAGCAGAAGCATCCTGGAGAAGGAATAATCAGGGCGAATTTTAAAATGAAAACTGCGTGGAACATGTTCAGAGCACAGCAATACTCCAGTTCAGCTAGATGGGAGAATGCGTGAAGGGGAGAACTGAGAGGGACATCATGCGACAGCTAAATGGGATGAAAGCATTCAGGCCTGGGATACCCAGATACGATATTTGGGTTTATTTCAGAAAGCAGTCAGGAGTCGTTTAGAGCATTTGATGTGGCGAGTAGCTGAGTCCGAGTCACAACTCAGGAAAATTTAAAAATTAGTCATAAAATAACAAGTGAATGAGAAACGGGAAAACCCAGGTAGCAAGGAGACCAGAAATGTTGAGAGAAAGATATGAAGCCCAGATTTTGGGATATTACAGAGAAATGCAATGATTTTGATGTGCTAAAGACAGTTCAGACATGTTGAGCCTGGGAAACAGGAGAATTGACAGCGTTCATAACAGAAATCGGAAAGTTGGGAAAAGAGTTGGAAATTGGACTCTGGAGGTATGGGATTACATAACTATATAGAGGAAGACAATAGATAGATGATAGATAGATAGATAGATAGATAGATAGATAGATAGATAGATAGATATCTTGCACTAAGAAAGAAATATAGGCCTAGAACCAAAGAGAAAATTTAGGCAAAGATTACTTGTTTGGGGCCCTATCTTAGTGCATCACATATGAATGCTGCATCTGTGATTAAAATTACATGAAATACCTAGTTTTGGTTTTTGCTAGGGTGCTTTTTGCTCTGCAAATATATTATGAATCTTATATCTGATTTTCTTTAAGTCAGTTGTCACTTGGTACTAAATTATGTCATGTCGTTAAGGATTTCACAACCTTTGTAACATCAACAATGGTACTGACCACTGTTGACCTGGTTGAATAGTAACTGACTGGTAACATGAAAGCCATCTTCATGATCCCTCTAATCATCGACCCTGGAGATAACATTTAAATACAGTCAAAGCTTAAGCTGATTCATGCACTACTGCTAGAAGCATAAATTTGTACCACTTTTCTGGAGCAAAATACAGATATGTAGCAAAAACTTTAGAAAGTATCTAAATCCTATTACATTGGAAATGCTCTTCTAAGAATGTATCCTAGATGACAGTGACATAACTTGGTTAAAATTGAAGCACCAATTTATTTAATAATAAAAAACTGGGTCATCATATAAAATGTCCATTTATTACAGGTAAGACATGAGATATTAATATAATTGAATACCTCATCTCATTAACAATGATAAAGTACATGTGTATTTACTGAAAATAAAATACAATTTCTTTGTGGAAAATAAAAAGTACCTTATAAAACTATATGCATAGTATAATTATTTATATATTATGTTGGCATATGCATCCACATTAGAATATTTAAAAATGTATTTATCCATATCCATATAGATATATAGATATAGATGGATATATATTTGTGTATGAGGTTGAAAAAATATTTGCAAAGAAATCTGAAAATGCATACATAAAATATTAGTAGTAGTTATCTTTGGAATGTAGCATATGGGGGATTTTTTCCTTAATGGACATTTTCTACAATGAACATACATAAAGTACACAAAACCCCCCAAAGTTTGTAAATATTTAAGTTAATCCAAGTTATTGGAACACTCTGAAAGTCTGGCTTATGAAGGTGAGAGCTGCAGGTCAGAATGCAAACTGAAGGTGGCTTCCAGTTAGAGCCAGGCTGGCCCCAGTGCTGGGCTGAATAGGAGAGCTGGCTGAGCCCTGAGTTTCCGAGCTGAGCGAGTGAGCCAAGTTGGAGCAATCGGTTACAATGGGGGGCTGGCGTGTGCCAGAGGTAAACATGGTACGATGTTTGGAGATGAGGTGTTAAAGACTGCCTCTTCTGAGACAATGTTAAGAACAAGACTTTGTTCTGAGTCTGCTCTTCTGGAAGGCCTCAGCTTCAGTGTCCCCAGTAATCAAGCCAGATGTCTTAACATGGTCACTTTTTCACGGTCTCTGACAGCTGACAAAATGTTTCGTCTGTGAAAAAAATAATGCAATATGGACACAGACACTGAACGATTTAATAAGATATAGCAGATAGTGGGGGGAAATGCCCCAGACAAAAACAAGAGCATCTCTACCTTTGTGGTTGCAATTCAGAGTAAAGGTTTAGAGGGGTTTTTTAAAGTAAATAATTCTCAGTTCACTAAAGGAAATGTACTCAGCAGAGAAATGCTCAGAACAGTGAGATTTTGATGATGGAGACTGACCCCAGGTCATCCCAAAAATGCACTCCCTGGCTTTAGGGAAATAACAAATCCTTGTCAGTACTAGCATTTTTCTGTTTGCTATCAACTTTTGGGGGTTTTCTCATCATCATCATTATTATTAAAAACACATGTCAACAAAATACAACTAATATACATCAGCAGCAAGTGTTCTCTAACAGAAAAGGGGGGGATTTGAACTGCTCAGATGTTTCTGTTAGTTGCCAAAAAAAAAAAAAAAATACATCTGGTGAGTCTTCCTCACTGATTTCCCTCCTATTTTTTCCCTCCTTCTCCTAAGGGAAACTGAATGATTATTTGGACAATATGTCTCAGAACTATGTCGTGTTGGGGCAAGGACTAACCATAAGAGAGGAATGTTGGACGTTGAGAACGTTGCTCATGGCTTCTCCACTGAAGTGACAGAGATGGCCAGGAATAGAATGGTCCTGGGAGGAGAAATATGCACAGATGACATGGCCAGGCACATATTTCCACTTCCTTACAATACTGAGTTACTGACATACTTTTCCAAACCCTAATGCCACATCTTGCTGAGTGTCAGTTAAGATGGTTCAGGTTGCAAGAGAATGAAAGTAGTTTAAACTAGCTGAAACATTAAAGGGAATTTATTTACTTATGCAATTAAAAAGTCTACAGAGGGAGTAAGTTTCAGGTACATTTTATTTTATTTTTTTAAATCAGGGCTCCAGCTGTACTTCTCTGTGTATCTTTCAACTTTTCCCACCTCTGAGTTTCTACTTCAACCATGCAACACACTATCTATGAAAAAAGAGAGACTATGGATGTTCCGCAGCTCCCAGCGATGTTCCTGAGCATTTCATTGACTGGACTGCCTTGTGACCAGTGGTTGCCCTAGGCTTTATTTCCTGAACTAATCACTGTCAGGGAGGATGGCATTACCATAATTGGATTAGACAATTCATGATGTCTACTCAGCCCACGCAAACCATTTGTCTGTAGGGAAAAGGAGGAACAAATGTTGGAGAACCAACCAATGTGTCCTCTGGTGAACTGATGAAGTCATTTTTCCCCAGCTAGAGATATATATAGGTATATATAGTAGTATATATATATAGGTATATATATAGTTATATAGGTATATATATAGGTACATAGGTATATATATAAAGGTATATATGTAGTGGCTTAAAATGGTATAATTAACTACTATATTCTCATTATATATTATATATAGTATATATATAGAATACATATACTATATATACTACTATATTCTATATAGAGAATACTATGTACTATACTACTATATTCTATATACTATATAGAATATATAATAATATATCATACATCATATATAATTATATATAATGTAATGAGAATATAGTAGTTACATGTTATAGTTCTATATATAGTACATATAATATATTCTCATTATATATAGTTGTATATATGATATACAATATTGATAATATAATATATTATAATATATTATATTATTATATAATATACAATATATTATTATATTATATATACCATTATATATGATTATATAAATTTATATAATTTCATATGATTATATGAATTATATAATTTCATATGATTATATGAATTATATAATTTCATATGATTATATGAATTATATAATTTCATATAATTATATGAAACTTAATCTAACGTAATCTATGCCAGGCACCATTCTAGGTACCTGAATGTGTTGAAGAACTGTTTCTAAGGAGCTTATGCTCTAGTGACATGGTATTTGATATATAAAAATATATATGTATATATTTGTATATACAAACCTAGAACATATATAATGAGAATATATGACTACTATATATACTATAACATATACCTACTATATTCTATATACTATATATAGAATATTATATACTATATATACTACTATATTCTATATATAGAATATTATATGCTATATATACTACTATTTTCTATATATAGAATACTATATACTATATATACTAATATATAATATATTAGCATATATTATATTATTAACATACACTCTATATATGATATAATGTATATATTTATATAATATAATGTATTATATATTAAATATATATATGAGAATATATATTGTATATGTATACTATATATAGATCTATAATATATATCTAATATATTCTCATTATATATTATATATAATTATATATCCTATATAATATATAGAATATAGTTGTGTATGTATAGTATATAGTATTCTATATATAGAATATAGTAGTATATATAGTATATAATGTTCTCTATATAGAATATAGTAGTATATATAGTATATAATGTTCTCTATATAGAATATAGTAGTATATATAGTATATAATATTCTATATGTAGTATATAGAATATAATAGTTGTATGCTATAGTATATATAGTAGTTATATATTCTCATTATATATGTTCTAGATTTATATATATAAATATATGCATATGTAATTTTTATATGAAATATCATGTCACTAGAGCATAAGCTCTTCAGAAACAGTTCTTCAATACATCTCAGGTGCCTAGAATAGTGCCTGACATAAAGTACACACAAAATAAATACACTTATTGTTGAATGATTGTTGCATGTCCCAGGTGCTGCATATTTGAACAGAAAGCATAGACCATGCAGCATTCTCCATTCTCCTTCTGCTGCCCCCTCCCCTTCACACAATGCTGCATACAGACCCAGTTGTTCACAAACAAACTTCTTGCAGGCACCTTTAAACCCCAGGCGATTCAGCTTGTAAAAAATCATGTCTGCCTGGCTCCCTAGTAAAAAGACTTCAATCAGATTAGCTCTATGAGATGGGGGCATAGATTGATAGATGGATAGAGTTTGTATTCAAAAGCTATTCCCAAATAGCCTTTTGGTTGCCTTTCTAAAGTTCTTCAGACTGCTCCAAACATTGTTGTTGATAGCTATCAACAGCAAGGCTCCAGAAATGGACATAGAAGGTACATCGTGCCATCATAGAGGACAGATGATACTTTAAGGCTCATTCTGATCTGGAAGTGCTGTTTATTACACCTGCACGATGAGTTTGGGTACCAGATTTGGATCACCTTATTTGGAGTTAGTTTAAACAAGGGGATGTTGTTTCTATGTTTCTGCAGACTTTCATGTGTGTGAGAGGGAGACTAACTGTGGTTATCATTTGACCCAGACCGCTTCCTGAATCAGTCTTATAAGAAGTTTCCCCATTCTTTTTTTTTTTTCTTTTGAGACCAAGTTTCACTCCATTGTCCAGGCTGGAGTGTAGTAGCACGATCTCGGCTCACTGCAACCTCCACCTCCCGGGTTCAAACAGTTCTCCTTCCTCAGCCTCCTGAGTAGTTGGGATTACAGGTGCACACCATCACACCCAGCTAATTTTTGTACTTTTAGTAGAGATGGGGTTTCACCACGTTGGCCAGGCTGATCTCAAACGCCTGACCTGAAGTGATCCACCAGCCTTGGCCTCCCAAAGTGTTGATATTACAGGCGTGAGCCACTGCGCCCGGCCAAGAAGTTCCCTCATCTTTAACTCTTGTGTAATTGCTGTTTTCACTGAAACACAGTTTGCTCAGAGTGGAAGGCAGCTGGGCTGTTTGCTCCTCCTTGGTTCGCAACAAGACAGAACTTGGCCTGAGAGGAGGGCGGGGGATTTATTTGAATAGCATTCCTGAGGAAGACAGGGCCTGTGCGCTAGAACCTTGGATTTCTGGAGTCACCTTGGAGAGGCATTCAGGCTGATAGTAGCTAAATCCCCTGTAAGAAATGCCGTGACTCAACATTCTTATGCTCTGGGGCATAGTGCCTTCATCTTCAGAGTTCTGGACTCTAATCCTGAAGAGTGTGTGCTGGTCCAGAACCTCAGAGATACTCCCTACATGGTTTACATATGAGTAACAATGCTTTGTGTTTTCAGTTTATTCCCAAAAAGGTGAAGGTGAGTGAGTGCATGGGGTAGAAAGAGGGACACTCCCTCTTGTTATCTCCATCACATATCACATTTGCAAACTGATATATCACAAATACTGCACACATAAATTTCTTAGGGTATAAGCCTTTTTTTTTTTTTTTTTCAAATTTTTGAGGCAGAATCTCTCTTGTCGCCAAGGCTGGAGTGCAGTAGCGCAATCTCAGCTTACTGCAACCACCACCTCCTGGATTCAAGCAATTCTCCTGCCTCAGCCTCCCAAGTAGCTGGGATTACAGGCACCCACCACCACACCTGGCTAATTTTTTTGTATTTTTAGTAGACACAGGGTTTCACCATGTTGGCCAGGCTGGTTTCGAACTTCTGGGCTCAAGTGATCCACCTGCCTCAGCCTCCCAAAGTGCTAGGATTACAGGCATGAGCCAACATGCTCAGCCACATTCACTGACTTTTATTACATTGTTGTCATCAAGCACATAGAAAGTCTGACATTTGCTTTATTAAGTGGACTATCTGCTGTCCAATCTGAAGGTAAAATCAATTATGATTTTAGGTTCCATTCTTACAGTCCCACCACTAAGTTTCCCAACTACACCCTACCATTTTCTGCTGTTAAATTGTTGTCTGGATTCCACTCAATGATGTGCTGATAAATGTTTAATGACCAGCTCTCTGGGGAAAAATGCAGATAAAAGTATAAACACATTGAGAGGTGAAGCCAGCTGGACCTCCTGGGTGGAGTGGGGACTTGGAGAACTTTTCTGTCTTACAAGAGGTTTGTAAAATGCACCAATCAGTGCTCTGTAAAAACGCACCAATTGGCGCTCTGTAGCTAGCAAGAGGTTTGTAAAATGCACCAATCAGCGCTCTGTAAAATGGACCAATCAGCATTCTGTAAGATGGACCAATCAGCAGGATTCTAAAGGTAACCAATCACAGGGAGGATTGAGAAAAGGGCAGTCTGATAGGACAGAAACAGGACATGGACGGGGACAAGTAAGTTAATAAAAGCTGGCCACCCTAGCCAGCAGTGGCCCGCTGGGTCCCATTCCATGCTGTGGAAGCTTTGTTCTTTCACTCTTCACAATAAATCTTGCTGCTGCTCACCCTTTGGGTAGTGCCACCTTTAAGAGCTGTAACACTCACCGTGAAGGTCCGCAGCTTCATTCTTGAAGTCAGGGATACCACGAACCCACAGGAAGGAACCAACTCCGGACACCACATGTTTATTATAAATTTATCCATATAAAGGATATGTGGCAAACAGCTGATAAATAATAATAAAATATACAGTACTCTTTATTATAAATTCCATATCACTAGCTGTTTCTCACAGAATGCTATTGTTGATTTTGTCTGACTTCCTGTATCTATAGCCAACCTAAAACTGCAATTGATTAACCAAGTGAAGTTTCAACATGAATATTGATGTGTTCTTTTACTTGAGTTAATCAAAGGGAAGCGAATTAATCAAGATGTATGTCAAAATTCTTACTCATTTTTTTTTGAGTCAGATAATAGTTTTCCGATACTACAAAATATAATCTCGTTAATTTCCTATGCAATTCACCATGTAACGGCTACAGACTTGACATATTTTAAGTTTATTTTACATTATAAATAGTTGCTCCATAGTCATTTTCTTAAGTCGAGACAAGCAGCAAAATAATAGACCAAGGTTGTGTTTGTAGCTTTTTTCAATTTTCATCGTGTAAGTATTCTCACCATGGTGGATTTTAGGCTGCCAGTCTGATGTCACTGAAAGTAGACTTGGGAAGAGAGACAGAGTATCTCATATTACATAGTATTTCCACTATGTAGGTAAAACAACGCAATCCGAAGAGCATAGATAAGGGCAAAATGTAGTGGAATAATTAGAAAGTGATGTGTTTTGAATATTTATTAGCTTTGTTATAAGATTATTTAGTCGTTGTTTGTATATTTTACTGTTTAATAATGGCTGTATTTAACAACCAGGTCACAAAATTCCTGAAAATTGAGCCATTAGATCTCATAGCTCCAGCTATAAGATACCAC
This sequence comes from Homo sapiens, assembly GCF_000001405.40. Classification (NCBI taxonomy): domain Eukaryota; kingdom Metazoa; phylum Chordata; class Mammalia; order Primates; family Hominidae; genus Homo; species Homo sapiens. The sequence goes on from NC_000015.10 coordinate 94,007,260, forward strand.
TGAAGTCTACCTTCCTCTCTTTACTATGGCCCTCTGAAGTCTCAGCCTTTCAGATATTTTTTTAAAGCTCCTGTGCCTCTTCTTTTTCCACCAAAGGGCCATTTCGTTCTATTAGGGTTTTTTGGGTTTTTTTTTTTTTTTTTTGAGTCTCACTCTGTTGCCCACTGTCGAGTGCAATGGCACGATCTTGGCTCACTGCAATCTCTGCCTCCCTGGTTGAAGCCATTCTCCTGCTTCAGCCTCCGCAGTAGCTGGGGCTGGGATTACAGGCGCACGCAACATACCCAGCTAATTTTTGTATTTTTAGTAGAGACGGGTTTCATCATGTTGGCCAGGCTGGTCCCGAGCTCAGGCAATCCACCTGCCTCGGCCTCCCAAAGTGCTGGGTTACAGGCATGAGCCACCGCGCCTGGCCTCTATTAGCTTTCTTGTTGTAATTGTAGTTCTGAGCTCATTCCTTAATTCTTTACCTCCTTTTTAGTTCAAACAGTTCCAATTTTAAGCATATTTCCTCTTTTCCTTTTTATTTTAAACCTTCCTTTAGCTTCCTCCCCCAGAGTCTGGGGTTTGCAAATTATTATGGGATATGTTCTGACCAAAAACTAAGCCATAAAGCTCATGCTGTTGATGAGAACGTAAATTGATCAGGGAGATCTGAGTAACAGGGAAGTGCCGGGTGACATATGCGGCCCTGGATTCCCCTTGTCCTGCAAACCAATTGAATCTGAGGTTTTCCGAAGACACCATCTAAAGATCATATTCACCTCACTGCTCCTGCAAGTTACCTGGTGCAGTGCTTGCTCCCATCCTGGGCATTTAACACATGTTGACAGGCAACTTTCCTGCCATGTGGCCAATTTTCAGCCTTTCCTACCTAAACTCCCCTGCTGGTTTTGACTGGCTCTGCTAGATCCTTCTTCACTCGCACAGATGTGTTTGGGAAACTATTTGACTCACTTGTCAGACTCTCCCTGCCAGATTTCAGTTGCCTAAGGTTTGGGGGACCGTTCCAGACCTCCCGTTTATGACTCCCAACCCTGCTGACTTTGGCCTGCCAGGGTGGAATCTACGCTCAGCTGGAAAGTCTATTGGACGAAGCATGCCTCTCCTGTCCTGTCAACTTTGACCTCAGAGAGTGTGTCCTGGCACTATGAATTAATTTCCATTTTAAAACTCAAATCTAAGACACACTGCAGTTTCTGCTGGATAATTTAGGGAGTTTATATGCTAAGATCAGGTATTACAGTACTCTACCTTATAAATCCAGGAAATACAAATTAACCAGGAATGTAGCATGTTTAACCGCAATGAGAGCTGGCATAGTTTTTCTCTGATCCATGCATGGAGAGTAGCTGTGAGCCCTTCACAGGTGACATTGAAATGCCCCTGACAAGCTCCACAACACGTGCGGTCACCCTAGCTAATAACATCAGAACACAGCCCACTGACTTGAAGATAATTGGTGTTGCTGTTTAAATGTCACCAGACTGCCTTCAGATGCACTTAAACTATAATACTAAAGAATAATGTTGTTTTAGATCCTGGGTTCTTCACCCAGTGACTAGTCTTTTGCAAGACAGTCAAGGAGATAAGGAAAGAGCAGCAGTGATCAGTGTCTTGTAACATGTGTGATGATTCATAAAGGACTCAGTTTAGTTAATGCAACAGATATCAAAATGTAAGTCCTGCTTGAGGGAAAAAATATGTGTGTGTGTGTGTGTGTGTGTGTGCATACACATATACATGCACACACATACAAATTGTACACACATATGAAACTCGTACATTTTCACCTAAAGGGTAGAATATAACATTAATGAAAATTTACATAACACTAATCAAATGGAAAGACAGTTTGTTTTTCTAGCAACCACTGCAACAATTACTTTGTAAATATTAAAATACAAATGCTGCTAGATATAACTTATAAACAGTTACACTAGGCAACAGACATTATCATGCATGGATGTTATGGATGTTAGAGAGTAAACTATACAAAATTCTAGACTTTGTTATCAGAGAGCCATGAAAACACATTGGTGGAAATACATTTTTCTTAAGGCTTGGAGTACTATAAAGAATTTGTAAAAATGTGTAGCCTTCTTTTTCTTTTATGTGGAAGGGGTTATCCAATGTAGAAAGATGGAAATTCATAATGTAACACCATCTGTATGTCTTTGAAGTTTCAGCGTCAGAGAGATTTCTCTGGATGCACAATTCCCACCTGGCAACTTAAAACCAAGTACTCGAGCAGCAGACCTATAAGGATCTCTCTGGGCCTGCCACTGTGTGCTCTGCCGAGGATGACAGAGGACACTGCGTTTGCTGCCTTTGGGATATGAAGACCTAGCTGTTCCATAGAGGATGGAAATTGGTGTAGATAACCAAAGGGTCACCAGCTTCCTGAGCCGTGAGACTTGGCGATGTTCTAAGCTTTGATTTGTTGGAGATGAAATGTTTCCTGCTCACACTGAGCAAAGAGATAGAGGTCTTTGTGCTTTAGCACAGGTGTCTGCCAGGGGCTCTCTCTGCCTCGCTGGCAGCCCTACTAACAAACCACCTAAAATTCTTGCTGGAAGCAGAGTGTTATATGCTATATGAACAAACTCAGAGCTGTTTGGATTAGGATCATATAAGGAGAAACATACAAATAAAAATACAGGAATGAACCAGAAAAGAGAACCATGTCTTGAGTTTATTGAGATGAAATTTCTCTTCGAAAAATATATTTAAAAGCAAGATAAATGAAAATAAAGAAGAAAGTTTGATCTCAAGGAATATGTCAATGATGTTAGAGATGTTCTGTGTGGTGATTACTATAAGAAAGCCAAGACTGCGTTCATTAGAGTAATTGAAAACACCTGTTCTCCCAAGAAAAGTTCCGCATCTCGATTTATTTTCCGAAATAATGTGGCTAATTTTTCCCAATTCTGAATGGCTCCTGCTTATTTCAGGAAATTGCTGTTTATTTCAAGTTAAATAAAATTAAAATCGCTTTTTATTTCAGGAAGGGGGAGTTCCAACATCATCACCATTCCTTGATTCTTCCTCAAACTTCAAAAGTTTCATAAGCAATAATAACACATACATTTTTCTTCCACATTGATTCCTTAAATAATAACTTTTTAAGGAATAAACCACAAACAACCAGAAATTACCACAAACAACTATAAAATATTTGACTATGGAAGGAAAGTAAGAGAATGATGTAACAAATGATGAAAATCTGTGTTTTTTAAAGATGATAAGATCTTACTAATGAGTAAACAGATAGAACATTTAAAAATTATGACAGAAGCATCATCATGCACTGATCTATCCCCAAATGTTCGTCTAGCTTGCTGAAAATGCTTATTTTCTATGTTTAGGCCATTGTCTCAGAAAAGTAATATTACTAATACAACGTAGGCTTTTAAATTTGCATGGCTGATTTTACGTACTTTCATTAGTTCTAGAAAGTTTTCTAGAGTCCCTCTGTTTTTCTCTCTTGAAAATTGGATGGGCAAGGTCCTCTTCTTATCCAATTCTTTAGCTTCTACGCTGGCAGCAATGCCATGTCAGAAACACAGCTCAGGGTAGACTCCCCAGACTCTCTCCAGAAGTAAAATAAAACTGCAGGAGGAATACATTCATGCATTCAACTAACCTAATTTTTACAATAGAATGTCCTGTGTTTACCTAACATTTAACATATAAAAGTTCATTAAATGAATCTCAAAGCATGCTGGTGGGGAGTGCTGAAATAGTTTTGAATATTTGTTTGAAATCACACATTGATAATCACACTGATTTTTTTGTTTCTCTCCAGTTTTCTTTGAAGATGATCCAGGATCATCCTACCAATACATGTTTGTGCCCTGCCTCTTTATGTCACATTTTAGCATGACCTTTTCTGATGCTATTAAATAATATTCTTTTAAAATATACATGTTAAAGTTGTTATGACATTTCATTATTTGGACCTGTCACAAAATATGTGATTATACTTCACGTTTGGAGTAATTACCTTCCTCCCATTTTCATTAATACATATAAATTTGTATTAATAAATAAGGAATGTAATTAACATTTCACTCATAATTCTTCATTGATGTTTTTGACTTATGGTTGTATTCTCGAAAGGAGAAATACCAGGTTAAAAATCACAAACTTTTTCAGGACTCTTAATATATATGATACTAAAGTATTTTCTTAAAAAACCATACCAGTTTATATTATCACCAGCAGTATTTGGCTTGTGCGTACTATTGCTCGATTACAAAACTTGAGCATTTAAAAATCTTTGCTAATTTGTTAGTGAACATGACATATCACCATTATATCTTAATTTGCATTTCTTTGATAATCACTGCATTGGGCTTTTGCTTTTATATTTACTATTTATATTTTCACTTTTGTAAATTCACCATGAGTTTATTCATATTTATATTTACTTTATGTGTCATTCGTTTTGATGAACACTCTTCGTATTTTTCGGTTTTTTCCACTGTGTATTTGTCCTTTAATCTTAAGAAGTCGATTGGTGTAAAGAGTTTTCCCCTCTCCAGAGCGTCAGAAAGCCCATCAGTGATGTCATTTCTCCTTTTCCTTTGGTGTTACAGTTAGAAAGACCTTCTCCCTCCAAGATCAGATATAGCTTCACCTACGCTTTCTTTCATTTCTTGTGTGGTTTCACTTTTTACATTTAAATACTCAGTCTATCTGATGGATTTTAGTTTGAGTGGTGAGGAAAGGCAGTATCTTCAATCTTTCCCAAGAGTAAACAAGTTGCCCCAGCAAAGTTTATTATTTGGTATAGCAGGTTTATTGTGTTTCAAGGTAATATTCACAAGGATATGTACTGAAAAAGGCTGTTTCTATACCATCAATTCTATTTCATTTTTCTCCCTATGTGCTCCTTTATTAGTATAACCTTACAGAGAGCAGCTTTACAACATGTTTTAATATCTGATTGGCTGATCAATTTTCCTTGCCTCTTACATGATTGAATAAGGGGCAATTATTTAGTATTTATTCCCTCAAATATTCTTTAGAGCCATATAATCAAACATTTCCCTTTCTACTGTTACTCCCACCTAGATTGCGTTGTGACTTTTATTGTATTAAACCTAAAATTCTTTCCGGAAAACTAACATCTGTGTACCACTCTTATCCAGTAACATTCTATTGCATTATTTCTCCAGGACTTCTGTGTCTATTGGTAAAATTACATTGTGTCTTATTGTTGTACCCAGGTCTTGCTCGACTTGTGCCTACGTATCATTTTGTTATTTTTGCTATTAGGAAAGAGGTTGTTTTTCCACTATATATAATATTTAGTTGATTCACTTAGTTTTACTGAGAAGGCAAGTAAGTCACTTGCAAAAATTGATAAATTATCATCATGCTTTATAATACTCATGACCTCATGGAACATTGCATTGGCTGAATCTTCCAGAACAATGTTAATTCATATTATAGTGGTAAGAATTAACACCCTTGTCATAAGAAAAATGAGTCTTAAAGCATGCTGGCAGGGAGGGGAAGAGGATTGACAGTGAAATTGGCTATTAAATAGCTTCTTGGAAATTCACCTTTGAAATTCAAATTCATTCTATAATTAGCATATAAAAACCTCTGAGCTGCTCTGCAAATAAGAATTTTTTGTTTTTGTTTTTCCTTTTTGAGATGGAGTCTCTCTGTCGCCCAGGCTAGAGTGTAATGTTGTGATCTCTGCTCACTGCAACCTTTGCCTCCCCGATTCAAGCAATTCCCCTTCCTCAGTGTCCCGAGTAGCTGGGATTACAGGTGCCCACCACCACGCCTAGATAATTTTTGTATTTTTAGTAGAGACGGGGTTTCACCATGTTGGCCAGGCTGGTCTTGAACTCCTAACCCCAGGTGATCCACCCGCTTCGGCCTCCCAAAGTGCTGGGATTATAGACTTGAACCTTTGTTTTCTTTTGACCTGTTACTTAACATGCTTTAAACACTGTTACCTAAACTCAGTTTTCCAAATAAGCATCAAACTTTATTTGGTGCTTTTTTACATTCCAAATAGTATGTTCTTTATCATATTAGAATCAATCATCTTCGTTTTTATTTTTAAATATATATATTTTAAAAAATGATGTGAATTGCTGGGTGCAGTGGCTCATGCATTTATTTAATATTTTTGCATTTATAATCATATGTAAAATCAGACTTTATATTTAATTTTAGGGGACTTTTGAAGTTTTTGGTAGAGAGTTTTACAATGTTTACAGATGAAAGGGGAAGCATTTCACCTCTGCTGTACAATGGACCAGTTTATGTGAAGGAGAACTAACATGTATGCCTAGGAATTCGCACACGTGTGTACACACATGACATGCAGAAGACGCATCTGGGTTTGGATCCTCATGTGGATCCTCATCCTTCAAATGGGTCCTTAACCTCTTCCTTTGGTTAGTGTGGTGCTCTCCCTACTTAAGCCGAAGTGCATATTGGGAGACATTCCCTTTACAATTTCAACAGACTGGCAGATATTTAGTCGGTATTCTTCTTCTGGCCTACAAAATAAGAATCAGTAAGTACTACTGCTTAGCCCTCTTACTATATCAATTTATTCATGCTTTAATTTTAATTTTAATTTTTTTTTTTTGAGACGGAGTCTCGCTCTGTCCCCCAGGCTGGAGTGCAGTGGCGCCATCTCGGCTCACTGCAAGCTCTGCCTCCCGGGTTCACGCCATTCTCCTGCCTCAGCCTCCCGAGTAGCTGGGACTACAGGCACACGCTACCACGCCCGGCTAATTTTTTGTATTTTTAGTAGAGATGGGGTCTCAATCTCCTGACCTCGTGATCTGCCTGCCTTGGCCTCCCAAGGTGCTGGGATTACAGGCGTGAGCCACCGCACCCAGCTTCTTCATGCCTTTTTTTTTTTTTTTTTTTAACATTTTAATCTGTTTTTATCCTCCTGCTGAAAAGGTGTACGAAGAATAACATCTGAAATGAGACTTTACAAAATCTGTTCTTCCAGCGCCAGTCTCTTTCTTACTTTATATCCAAGGATATCATTCCTAACTTCTTCCTGTTTTGTTTGTTTTACATATCTTGGAACTTTGATCTCCATATGGATATCAAGACAAAAATATAAGTTGGGGTGGGGAAGGAAAGAAATCCTAAATTAGATACTTCAGAAAACAAGTTCTTACTTAGGCTTATCTCTACTCCCTCCTGAAAGCCCATTAGATGCCAACAGATCGGCTTTGGATGGCTAGCAACTGCCTGGACAAAGCGGAGAAAGTTCCTCAGTACATGCAAGGAGGAATGCCAAAACATTACATGCCTGTTCATGGTACAGAACCTTGGAGAGGTCCTGAATTTGAGGTGCCACTTAAGGAAGGTGTGGGATTGACCTGACACAAGAAAACTGATGGAAGTGTATATAAGGATCAGCGAGATTTTCCATTTTCCTTCACAGCCCATGGAATGAGATGGTTACTCCTCTTCTTCCCTGTATAAGATACGACGCTTTCTGTATCAAGAGTTTTAACCCAGGAGGCTCTAGACACAGCAGTATCAGGCACAAGTGAAGGTGGCCAAGGGGTTGAGAGGGGAAAAGGGGAGGGGTGTGTGGAGGGCTCCAGAATTTAAAAAAAAAAAAGAAAAGAAGAAGAAAAATTAACAAAATTTTACCTATTGAATCCAACTGCTATCCTCCTGCTCTGCTCCCAGGATGCCAGCAAGAGCAGCACATACTTCAAATAAGACAGTATGGGCTTTATTCTTTGTTAGAGCAAAACTCAAAAAGCCAAAACAAACCAAAGAAAACTCTGGACAAGTTAAATTTAACAGAATTGGCCAGGCCCGGTGGCTCACACTTGTAGTCTCAGCACTTTGGGAGGCCGAGGTGGGCGGATCACTTGAGGTCAGAAGTTCGAGACCAGCCTGGCCAACATGGTGAAACCCTGTCTCCACTAAAAATACAAAAATTAGCCAGATGTGGTGGTGCGTGCCTGTAATCCCAGCTCCTCAGGATGCTGAGGCAGGAGAATCTCTGGAATCTGGGAGGTGGAGGTTGCAGTGAGCTAAGATCACACCACTGCACTCCAGCCTGGGTGACAGAGCGAGACTTCGTCTCAAAAATAAATAAATAAGTAAATAAAATAACATAAAAATTAACAGAGTCGATTTGAGCAAAGAACTGTTTATGAATCAGGCAGTACTCAGAACCAGAACCGGAAGTGGTTCAGAGAGCTTCATGCTTCATTTCACAACATGAATGGTATTTATAGACTGAAAATGGAAGTGTTATACAGAAATAGTTTTATGGGTTACAGCTAGGCATTTGTCTTCCTTGGACATGGTTTGATCAGTTGACAGCCCGTGACTGGCTTAAACTTGGCTGCTTGTAGTTGGCTGAGACCCTACTATGTGTTACAAGAAATACATAGTTAGATCTTGGTTCATTTGTCTGCTGGCTTTGGTTGCAGTTCATTAAGTAGAAACTCAAGGTGTGGGGACTGCCTCAGGCCAATGGCATCTTACTTTAAAGGTGTTAAATTTACTTGTTAAATATGTTTACTTGTTAAATAAATTTAACACCTTTCTAAAGAAACATACTGTGTCAAAGAAAAAAGACCTATTGATGTTGACATATGGGGTCCTGTCATGAAAATGATGAAAAGAAAATTATAAAATAAATTACATAGAACACATTTTAGAACTGAAGATCATGACTGTCCAGATTGAAAAGGCCCACTGAGCATCCAATGTCATAAGTGAAAAATGACTGTCAGGTCATATCCTTATAAAATTTCAGAACAATGAAGATGATTTTCCTAATCTTAAATGTTTTAAGATATATAGAGAGAAGAGTCACATATAAAGGGTGGGAATCAGAAGGTCTACCAACTTCTCAAGGCAACACTGTAAGCTTAAAGAGAATAGAGCAATGCCTTCAAAACCCTGGGGAAAATGTTTCCCCCAAAATGTAATCTTTTCAAAATTTTAATCACTGATGGATATCATCGATCATTACAAAAATGCAAGTCAAAAATCACAACGAAATTCCATCTCATACCAGTCAGAATGGCTATTACTAAAAAGTCAAAAAATAACAGATGCTAGTGAGGTTGCGGAGAAAAGGGAAATCTTGTTCACTGTTAGTGGAAGTGTGAATTAGTTCAACCATTGTGGGAAGCACTATGGCGATTCCTCAAAGAGCTAAAAGCAGAACTACCATTAAACCCAGCAGTCCCATTACTGGGTATATACCCAGAGGAATATAAGTCATTTTACCATTAATACACATACAGGCAAATGTTCATTGCCACATATTCACAATAACAAAGACATGGAATCAACCTAAATGCCCATTTAGACGGATTGGATAAAGGAAATGTGGTACATATACACCACACCGTGGAATACTATGCAGCCATAAAAAATGAGATCATGCCTTTTGCAGGAACATGGATGGAGCGGGAAGCTATTATCCTTAGCAAATTAATGCAGGAGCAGAAAACCAAATGCCACACGTTCTCACTTATTAGTGGGAGCTAAATGATAACTTATACATGCAAAGAAGGACACAACAGACTCCGAGGTGGAGGAGGGTGGAAGGAGGGAGAAGAGCAGAAAAGGTAACTATTGGGTACTGGGCTTAATACCTAGGTGACAAAATAATCTGTACAACAAACCCCCGTGACATGAGTTTATCTATGTAACAAACCTTCACGTGTACCCCTGAAGCTAACGTAAAAGTTTAACATTTTTAATTAATATAAGAATAATAAAGACATATACAGACATAT